>NC_000004.12:112709259-112860774 GCF_000001405.40 Homo sapiens | reverse complement strand
ACCAAAAAAAAAAGTAATATTAAAATCTTTCCACTTTAAAATGTTAACTTTTAATATATTCCACTGGTACTCATTAAACCCACTAACTAAGCAAGCCTCCAATTTTGCAAATATTTCTTTATTTTGTAAAATAAGACGGTGATACAAGTTTAGACCCAAAAATATTAGTAATTATTTTTTCCAACTGCTTCATTTTTCCAGATATTTAATTTAAAGCCTAGAGGGTTCAAGTGTCTTTCCCAGTTAGTAGCTGGGTGGGTTGCACTAAACAATCTTCTCAGTTTTTTTCTAGTGTTCAAAGGCCGGCGGATCATGAGGTCAGGAGTTCGAGACCAGCCTGACCAACATGGTGAAACCCCGTCTTCACTAAAAATACAAAAATTAGCCTGGCATGGTGGCGCGCACCTGTAATCCCATCTACTCAGGCGGCTGAGGCAGAAGAATCGCTTGAACCCGGGAGGCGGAGGTTGCAGTGAGCCAAGATCACACCACTGCACTCCAGCCTGGGCGACAGAGCAAGACTCCGTCTCAAAAAAGAAAAAAAAAGAATTTTTTTTAAAACTTCCAATAAAAACTTAGGTCCCATTAAATGGTAAATCTGGCTCCAAAGACTGTGTGGATGAGAAACTGACTAGAAAAGGAAGCACAGTAAATGGCACTTAATCAAATAAATGTTTTATTCTCAGTTACAGAACACTCTAATAATGACACAATGGTATGAATCCTCCTTTCACTAGAGCTATCAGATTTGCTGGTACATACCATCCAATTGACGCAACAACACCCCTTATTTAGTAGAGAATGGTCACTGTATTGCTGGCAGAGCAGTGATCAGCTAGTGTGTTCACATGAGTTAGAAAGCCAACAAACATCATGGAAACCAAGACAAGTTTAGTAAACAACTCAAACATCATCTTTCTATTATCGTTTTCCAGGTAATAAAGGTTATCAATTCAGGAAACAAATCTCTATGTGCTAACCCTCTTTAACAATCTAACCTGCAATCAGCCACATGAGAGGGGGCCCTAGACAGAAGCTGTGGCTTGGGTAAGCTGGTCACAGCTAAGTGACAAGGCAGGTGCCCCCATGCCTGCTGCACACAGACTTGCTCCTGAACAGAAGCTTTATTAAAGAGAATTCAGGAAGCAGAACTAAATTATCTGGCTTCTAGCCATATAAGCTGGCAACAAATAAAGAGATAATGGAGGGGTAAAAGCTTAGATACAGGACAGCTCTCCTCCCTGAGGGCTGGAGCCTTCCTGGACACAGGAGGCAGCAGCAGAGACCAGGTAGATCAGTAAAACATACACCTAACTGGGCTCAGCTCCTCTCACTCTTCCCAAATCCAGAAGGAGGTTTTGGAACCACGTAAGAATAGCAGGAATTTAAAAGACATAGTATTCTAATGTAAATATTGCAACAATCATAATTATCTTATGTAAAATACAATTAATTGAGAAAGTGCAACTAAGGAAAAGGCTAAGTTCTCTCTTTTGCTTTGCCCAGGAAGGGCCAAGTGACCGTTTAAACCTGTGCTAGACATATTATTCATCATTTACTCCCAAAGACCTCAGCATCATTAGGGGGGATGCTGTGGTTGGTTATATACACTGGTTTTAATCTACACCCTAAGGGCAGTTTAATCTCCTTTTGATGTAACCTTTTCTTGTGTCTGCCTCCGAGCGAGGTTTTCATGGAAAGTTCTAGGAAGAGTGCAGAGTGCCAAAGGATAAAGATTGAGGTAACCCCACAAACAAGTTCTATCATCCTTCTGAATTTCTTGCTAATAAATGTTTGTAGGTACAGAAGAACTTGGTCTGAAACCTTGCTTTCATTGTTTCATTGAGACTTGTTTCACAAAGGTTTTACGGGAGGAGACCCATGTCCCCAGGACATTAACCAATAAAAGCTACTAAGAATATTTTTCAAACAAATCCAACAGTTGTTGAATGGTCAAATAGCCTGGGCAAAAGGGGAAAAAAGAAAAAAGGATTACCTACCTACAATGTGAAGAGAAAGTCAAGAAAAGGGAAACTTTCCAGGTAGAAAATAAGATAGTTAAATAGTCTCTGACTGATCTTTGTCCTCAAAGATGTGACAGCAATAGTCCTAGACAGAATCATTTTGCCAAGTCCTAACTTTCCCTTTGTTTCAGTCAATGCATGAACTAAGAATGCGAAGAACAGAATCCTCCTGGGAAAATAAAGGACTTTGATATTATTTGCATTGCAACAACCAAATTGGTTCTAATAGATTAGACACAACTTTGGAAACCCAAGTTCAAATTTCTCTTCTCTCACTACAGATACCTTAACTCTCTGAACTATGGTTTTCTCACTCATCAATCAAAAAGTATTTAATAATATCTACCTTGCAAGGTTGATATAAGGGCTTATAAAGGTAACGTATAAAAAGCACCTTGAAGAATGCCTAGCACATAGTCTGTGCTCAAGATATAATAGTTCTATTTTTTACTAACCTTATTTTTGTGACTAAAAATATTGTCAGTAATATTATAATCAATTATGTTATTGTCAGTAATATTGTCACTTACTAGGAGTTTATACTCAAAAAAAAACTTCCTCTTTACAAAGGATACTAGAACTGATGAATCAGTGACACCTTTAACTAATGCACTAAATTTCCATGAAACAACAGTCATTTCCATGGTATGGAAGTAATAAATTTAAAATTTTGGCTTTCTTTACAATGTGACAAGAACATATATATATGTTTTGAAACTAGGAACTATTCAATCTTACTTTTAGTGGAGAAAAGTAAATAAAGAGCTCAAAAGAGCACTTAGTTCTACTTCCTATTGAGTTAAGTCCTTGCTACTCAAAGTATGGTCCTAGGACCAGCAAAATTAGCATCACTCAGGAGCTCATTAGAAATACAAAATCTGAGGTCCTACTTCAGTCCCACTGAATCAGAACCTGCATGTTAAGAAGATCCTGAATGATTTGATTACTATGCACATTAAAACTTCAGGAGCACTGGATCCCTTAGTATCCAGACCCACCCCTGCATATTTTATGATACTTCAAGTCCAACCAACTCAGATTGGTAACATTCTCTTACTCTGTTTCTAATCAGTAGGAGGTGACTCATCAGCAGGAGGTGAATCACTGCAGCATAGTAACATGTTATTTCTTTTTAAACCCTGACTAGAGCCTTGTAGAATGTGTGAAAGGCTTGGAATATCCATGATGCGGAATTCTGGGCAAGTATGCTCTTGTAAATTTAAACATGATATACAAGAAAATACTAGATGAGTATTTCCCAGTAGTTTTTCAATATGCCTGTGAAATCTTCATGAACACCTGTCCTTGGTGCTAGGGCCATTAAAAGAGAGAATACATTTGGCATAATATGTTTATGGTGACTCTGAAGGTAAACAACCTTACATAAACTGATGACTTGATATTGCCTAACTTTTAAAATAGTGAATGCTCAACAAGTCTTAGAATAGTTTTCTCCATTTCAGCCTTCTTAGAGAACTGAATTTCATCCACATGGCTATTGTTAATTGTCTTTAAAAGTTTCTTTTAAAAACTTTTTTTTCTCCTCCTACTGAAAAAGACTCTCTTCTTGATCAAACTTTAATCAGGCTCTCCTGAACTCTCTTCTCAACTAAGCCTCATCTTTGACTCCATCTTTGCCAGACCTGCATAGCCCAGTTTTAGCAAAAATCTTGCTAAGTCAGTTTAGAAAGAATCCCCCACTCTTGATATCTGATCAAATTCTTCACTCTCCATCCTTGATATTTGATTACCTTGCCCTGCCTTCTGCAAAGTTCCTGTTAAGTTGTTTTGGCAACAACCCCCTGACCCTTGATGTCTCCTCAGTAATTTTCCAACCCTGACCCCCTAATTCTGCTCATTGGCTATACGTCTTCAACTGGCTTTGCTATATTAAGAGTTGACCCCAATTTCTCTCCCCTATTACAACAGTTGTGACAGCTAGTCCAACTCCTGAATAAAGTCTTTCCTTACCATTCTAGCAAGTATCTGAGTAATAGTTTAATAATACACTTTTTTGTTTTTTGAGACGGAGTCTCGCTCTGTTACCCAGGCTGGAGTGCAGTGGCGTGATCTTGGCTCACTGCAACCTCTGCCTCCTGGGTTCAAGCGATTCTCCTGCCTCAGCCTCCTGAGTAGCTGGGATTACAGGTGTGTCACACCATGCCCAGCTAATTTTTGCATTTTTAGTAGAGATGGGGTTTCACCATATTGGCCAGGCTGGTCTCGAACCCCTGACCTCAAGTGTTCTGCCCACCTCAGTCTCCCAAAGTGCTGGGATTACAGGCGTGAGCCACCACACCCGGCCAATAATACACTTTTAAAAAATTATTTTTAAGAAGCATTCAGGGCACAGATAAATTAGGAAGAAGTACAGCTTACCTGCAAAGAGTTGTAAGACATTGGGAACTATTGGTTTAAATAAAATTTATTTTATTAAAAGTATTCTTGAGGTGCGACTCCCTCTCCTGAATGTGCCTGCATTCCCCTTCCTCAAGCGTGTACTTTTGCTTTGCAATAAATTGCTGTACTTTCACGCTTAAAAAGTATCCTCAGGACTATTTAGCTTAACAAAAACAAGTTGTCTAAGGATGTAATTTCACTTAGAATACTAGACATAGTCAAAAGAAAATCAAACATCTAAATGACAGTCCAAAAATGTAAAGTCCTAAGATTTAATAATCTATTTCTATGTGGAGTCCAAATAGAAATGAGCAAGCCAAACAGAAGTCCAGAGATCATGAATTCACTCACCTCCTGGGCGGGCACCCACATCTAAACTTCACTCACCACTGCTCATGAAACATAAATTAAGTCCCAGAAATGGAATTATATGACACTCTTCTCATGTTTCTCCTAAGACCATTAAAATGACAGCAGGAACATAAAGACCAAAGGTGGGCAGCCCAAATCCAAAGGGGAGGACATTCCAGGTAACGCTGCCCCATCACATCAAGCCATATCCAGACATGGACTCTGGAGTGAGCCTGCCTGATTCTGAACACTGGCTCTGTCACTCTCCAGATGTGAGACCTTGGATAAGTCACTTAACCTTCCTGCACCTCTACTTTTGTCACCTAGAATAGTACTTAAGTCATAGCATTGTTAATACATGTAATGAACTTAGGACAATACCTGGCATATAGTAAATACTAGATACGTATTAGTTACTATCATTACAGGTATTTCTGCTATAACTTGATATATACATTCAGGGGGAAAAAGACTGTATTCTACAAAATTGTGCTCTAAAAATATAGGGCCAATTGAGGAGGTGCAGGGAAGAGAAATAAATTTACCTCTCAAAAACCTATGCAACCTGTTGTCAGTGTACTACCATAATCAATAGCTATAGATTAGGCTGCCCAGGCAGGCAATTTAGCATAACTGAAAGTTGTTTCAGCAGATGTGGACAACGAACAAAGACAATAGAGCAGAAGTGTTGGCAACACTTCAGTATGAGCAGACTGGTGGACAGTGAGAGATTACAGAAGAACACAGCTCTGGGCCAGCAGTGCTGCTGTCGAGGTGATCCCAGCAGGCAGTGCCACCCACCAGGAATCATAAACTGCACAAGGCCAGAGGTGAGTCCTTCTGTAAATACATAGCCCTAGCTCCAAGCATTTAATTGTCACAAAAACAACAAAAAATACTCCTATTAACAGTGCAATTTCTCTTTCCAAGGTCTACATCGAGAGAAAGAATATTAGGATGCTAATATTGCATTGTGTCATTGGAGCTTAATGTTTAGAAATAATAAACTAAACTGTTTTGTGGTCTGACTATATATGTCCTCAACTTAATTCTGTAACACCCAGTCAAAAGAAAAAAATACAAAGATTTAAATAACCCAAATTAAATCATACCACCCTCCCTCCCATTCTACTCCATTCCTCCCACACTGAGCTCTCTCTCTGGAACAGTGTTTCTCCCATTCCCTTTCTTCACCCCAGCTCCCACCTCTGGACTACCAGTCCTCAGCCAAACCCTGAAACTACATATCCACTATGAACTCATTATAATGTTTTCCTCCTAAAGCCAATCTTCCTCCTGCAGTTCCAATGTTGGTCAATCATCTATCACACTCCCTTAAGCTAGAACCCTTAATGCCTTCTTAGCATACTACCTCTTCCTCATTCAGACAGCCATTTAGTCACTAAGTCATGTGGATTTAACCTCCTCTCATTCTCACAGTACCAGCCCTCATCTCTCACCTGGAGGCTACAATAGTCTCCCAGCTCATGTCCCTGCCTCCCTGCCACCATCCATACTACTATCAAAGTGATATCCCTAAAACAAGGCTATCATATCACCACAGCATGTCAGGCTTTCATTATCTGGCCTGCATTATCTTCAGTGTCCTCCTCTACCATGCACCTTAATCAAATTAAACCACTTAAAGTTCCTTAAACATGCCAGATTGTTTCGTCAATTTTTGGTCTTTCACTCACATATTTTCCTCCGAAAGATCCATCCTGTATTTCCAAGCCACACAACCTTCAATCCTATAATCTACACAATGTCCTTCCTAGTAACCACCTACCAAGTTTATAAGATTCTGTTTAGGAATCATTTCCTCTGTGCTTTCTTTACAAATCCACACTCCTCACCCCTTCTCTATAGAAGTGCCCACTTCTTCCCTTGGGTCCCCATTCCTCCTCATCTATAGTTCTATTATAGTCCCTGTAACGCACTATTGTCCTTATTTTCTTACAGGTACATCTCCCTATACTAGAATCTAGGCTTCCTGAGGACAGGAACTATAAATAAATCATTTCAATAACTCTTATGCCTAACATTATTCCTAGCATGTAGTTGGAGATTATTAAACGTTTGTTTATTGATTGAATGAATGACACTTATGTATGTTTAATGCATTTATTTCTACACCATCTTGTGGCCATTCCTAGAAACGGCATCCTCTCCACAATTCTCAAACCTTGTGAATTAAGAAACATTTCCAATTTCTCCTAGATTTCCCCCATTCTTAACTGTCCAAAATATTTGTAAAAATGGAAGACTCAACTGGTTAGCTAATTTATAATACTTAGCTAATTTTTTAATAACTGAAATTTAAGAACAATAAAGCTTAGGAAATGAACCTTTCTCAAGTTGTTCTGTATCTACTTAAAGGAAACAATTCTGTGGATATAGGTAAGACAAGATCTTTTTTTAAAAGAATTTCTTTAAGGAAACTTCCTTTTATACATATCAGAGACAAATAGGAGTCATTATAAATCAAGAGCATTTTAGGCTGAGCGTGGTGACTCACACTTGTAATCACAGAACTTTGGAAGGCCAAGGCAGGAGGATTGCTTTGAGCCCAAAAGCTCAAGACAAGCCTGGCATCATAGCAGGACCTCATCTCTACAAATTAAAAAAAAAAAGGCCGGGCATGGTGGCTCACGCCTGCAATCCCAGCACTTTGGGAGGCCGAGGTGGGCGGATCAAGAGGTCAGGAGATCGAGACCATCCTGGCCAACATAGTGAAACCCCATCTCTACTAAAAATACAAAAAATAGCCAGGTGTGGTAGTGCATGCCTGTAATCCCAGCTACTTGGGAGGCGGAGGCAGGAGAATCCCTTGAACCAGGGAGTTGGAGGTTGCAGTGAGCCGAGATCACGCCACAGCACTCTAGCCTGGCGAGAGAGCGAGACTTCGTCTCAAAAAAAAAAAAATTAGCCAGATGTGGTGGCACACATTTGCAGTTGAGGCTGTAGCGAGCCATGATCATGCTACTGCACTCCAGCCTGGGCAACAGAGTGAAACCCTGTCTCCAAAACAACAATAACAACAAATTTCCAACAAGGAAGGTCCACAAAGTGACTTTAAATATTACATGCACCCAAATGTTTTCTTTTAAAATCAATGAGCCTAGACGACGATCTGTCTTTTCTCCAAATTCCTGCTTCATTTCTTCTGATGCTTTCTTGATTGAGGCCATGTGTTATCTTGAGAACATTTTTTTCCTGTCAGTATTCCATTCCAATACTCTCACTTGGGATTCACCGAAGAAAAGGGTATTATTATCCAACAAGGAATGCATCAGAAGAATTTTAAATAGGATATGTGTAAACATCTGTTCATTTAAGAAAATTCTAAATTAGGAAACATAGAAGAAATGTTTGTTGTTTTTTAAGACTCGTATCTTCCCCTAGATATTTAACTTCAAACATATTAAATAATTCATACTATCCTAAGATTCTCTATTGATCAAGTCATACAATTTACTAATTATTTCCTATGTGTTTAGCCTATACTAGAAATGTTGGGAAAGGGTGGACAGACATAAAATGTATAAGAATTCCTTCAAAATAAGTTGGAAAGAGATTTTTTAAAAGAAACATAAGCAATTTGATAACAACCAAGTTCCTAATTTTAAATACTGACTTTTAAGTACAATCTCAGAGGTGTGATCTAGAGTACACAGAGAGCCATCTGGGTGGAAATTGAGTTAGAAGATGAAGAATATGAAGAGTCAAGGGTTTGCTTTTCAGGCAAAAAGGTCCACTGGGCAAAGGTGCATATAGGAATGAGCATGGTGTGTTCCAAAACCATCATCTTTTCTAAAGTTCTGTTACATGTTGGAGAATGTTGTAAAAAGGATAATACGTATTAGAGCAATAGAGGAAGACTTAAATTCCAGTTTCTATCTAGTCTAAGATACAACAGATTTATGAACAACCTTCTTCAGAAAGCAAACTAGAAGCAAAGGAAAACACTGACAGATTTGACAAACCTATTTAGGGTGCTTAGGCTTCATCATAGGTTTGTGACAGCACTGTTGAAGAAGGGACAAGTAAAAGAAGTATTTTAAAGAAAAGTAATTGTGGCCAGGTGCGGTGGCTCAGGCCTGTAATCCCAACACTTTGGGAGGCCAAGGCAGGTGGATCACGAGGTCAGCAGTTCGAGATCACCCTAACCAACACGGTGAAACCTCGTCTCTACTAAAAATACAAAAATTAGCCAGGTGTGGTGGCATGCACCTGTAGTGCCAGCTACTCGGGAGGCTGAGGCAGGAGAATCACTTGAACCTGGGGGGTGGAAGTTGCAATGAGCTGAGACCATGCCATTGCACTCTAGCCTGGGTGACAGAGCAAGACTCCATCTCAAAAAAAAAAAAGAAAAAGAAAAGTAATTGTACTTTAATATTCGACTCTATGGCACATGAGGGAAGGTGAATCAAAACTGACACAAAGTTCTAGCGAAACCTAGCAAGTGGAGAAGAAAGTAGCTTTGAGGAGAATGTGATGAGAGTGGACTTGAGGTGATGGTGGGATATTTGGGAAGATAGCCACAGAAGGTATGGGAGAAATGCTCTTCTCACTCCCAAAGTTTCCTCCATGTGGAGGGATGTCCAGAAGTGTCACTACCTTGGTCTCACTCCACCTCCTCGCTCACCCCTCCCCACGTGAGGTTGACTGGGGAACTTGGGAGCAAAAGCTGGACACGGAAAGCACTGAGATTTCCTCTCCTCGTTATCTTTGGATGGCAATTATTAACAAGGGGTGCATTCTCTTCTACCCCACCTTCCTTAAGTCTCAAAGTGGCCTATATAATTTGAGATTCAGTATTAGGAAGTCCAGTTTCCACAACTATAAGCCACGTTTTCTGGTTTCAGCTCTATTATTAATGAAGACAGCATTTTGGTCTTCATCTGTCTTACTTCTAGTGTATCCCTCTACTGGTTCCGACCTCAGGTATAGAGGACGAGTGCTATTTATTGGTCCCATAAAACCTTAGTAATGTCCTTCAAGTAACGAAATCATACATGGTGTTGCTGATTTCAGAAGTATCAACATATACATCAGAGTTGAAACTAAATTTTTTAAGGGTGAATGTAAAGAAATGGGCAAAAGATGGCGGAGAGATAAATGATCAAAGAAGAGTCACTAAAGCATTCTCGTGCATCCCAAGCAAAAAGATTAGCACAGGAAGGTCAGGCGCAGTGACTTGCACCTATACTCCCAGCACTTTGGGAGGCAGAGGCGGGCGGATCACGAGGTCAGGAGATCGAGATCATCCTGGCTAACACGGTGAAATCCCGTCTCTACTAAAAATACAAAAAATTAGCTGGGCGTGGTGGTGGGCACCTGTAGTCCCATCTACTTGGGAGGCTGAGGCAGGAGAATGGTGTGAATCTGGGAGGCGGAGCTTGCAGTGAGCCAAGATCGTGCCACTGCACTCCAGCTTGGGAGACAGAGAGAGACTCTGTCTCAAAAAAAAAAAAAAAAAAAAAAAAAAAAAAGACTAGCACAGGAAATGTTAAAAAAAACTGGAGGCACTATGAAAAAAAAAAAAAAAAAAGAAACGAACAACAACTCTTAAACCCTGTACTTGTCAAGGTTCTCCAGAGAAACAGAACAAATATAATGGACAGAGAGATGAATGGGTGGATGGATGGATGGATGGATGGATGGACAGATGAATGGATGGATGGATGAACAAATTAGATAGATAGATAGATAGATAGATAGATAGATAGATAGATAGATAGATAGATGAAATTTCTTATGGAAACTGGTTCACATGATTATAGAGTTCGAGAAGTCCCACCATTATGCCATCTGCAAATTGATGCCCTTCAGTCCAAGTTCAAAGGCCTGAGAAACAGGGAAGTTGATAGTGTAACTCTCAGTTTGAGGCTGAAGACCTGAGAATGAAAGTGGGGGTAAGGGATCCAGTGGTATAAATCTTGAAATCCAAAGGCCCAAGAACCAGGAGCTCTGATGCCCAAGGATAGGAGAAGATAGATGTCCCAGCTCAAGAAGAGAATTCACCCTTCCTTCACCTTTTTGTTCTATTCAGGTCCTCACCAGATTGGAGGATGCCCGCCGATATTGGTGAGGGCAGATCTTCTTTACTCAGTCTACTGATTCAAGTGCTAACCTCTTTTGGAAACACCCTCACAGACACACCCAGAAATAATGTTCACCAACTATCTGGGCATCCCTTTGCCCACTCAAGTTGACATGTAAAGTTAACCATCACAACCCTGTTTGATTAAACCATCAAATCTGTATAAGGATTAGAAGAAGGGAACAAAAGATGAAGCTGGAAAGGTAAATTAAAGATAGATCTTAGAGACATTTAGACATTTCTGGACAGCAATGAGGAAACTAAGTATTCTGAACAGATCTATGACTAGACATATGCTACTTTTCTTTAAGAACTATAAACTAGAGGCAGCATATTAACTAGCCTCGACAGGTAAGAGATAACAAAGAAGAAGGAGAAATGGAAATCCAGAAAGGAGTAATAAACCAGGTATGTGCAGTGAAGAGAGCTGGGGGAGAGAGAGAATGTAAGAACTGCTATAGAATTGATTGGGCTTAGGCAACTATTAATTGAAGTGGACACAAGAAAAGAAAAAGAGAATTTCAAGATTTCAAACTTTGGAAACTTGAATAACACAAAGACTGGTATTTCTTTTAACGTCATTAAAAGAAATAGAGATGTAAAGAAGAGGTATTTGTAAGAGGATTGAGGGGAGTGGATATTAAGCTTGGTTTTGTCACATATATAAACACCCTACACCTACTGCCAAAATGTCCTCTATAAAAATAGCAGATTATGTTGTCAACTCTGAATGCTTGAATACATCAATTTGTCTTACATGTCACTTTTTTGGGACAGTGCCCCACTTTAACTTTGGCCTCCATACAGATGCTCCTGTAAATCCCTTACATGGTTCAATAAACATGGACTATGAAACTACATTCTATCCCACTGATGCCAAAACAAAACACTCCAGGATAAATGCAATTTTGCAGATTGTTTCACAGCCCAGCAGTTGCTATTTATATTCAGAATCAGAAGACTGCTTCTTTCTATTACAAAACAGCATTCACACATTCATCAAACTCTTCTCCATTCTTTTGGGGAAGGTAAGTCAAAGCCAAGGAAATGGGTTGACCTTTATTTTTCTACTTTAATTTATTTCTATTCAATTCAATGCAATTCAATTTAATAGGCATTTATTCCATGTCTATTTTTGCTAGGCACTAAGGATCAAAGGTGAGTAAGTCAAGACTCCTACCTTCAAGGAGCTCAAAGTCCAGCAGGTGAGACAACCAAAAACATAAATAAATATAATAATAAAACTTATATAACAGAAGCATTATAAAATGCTATAAAAACACAGATTGGAGAAAACTATTTTTTCTTGTACTCACACAAAAAATTACAGAGTAGAAGTGACGTTTGAGAAGGAGAAGGAAGGAACTGACATTTTGAAGCTCTACTATGGCCTCGGTACTTTATGTAATTCTCTTTTTAAATCCATTTTTCTGGCAGGGTGTGGTGGCTCATGCCTAGAATCCCCGCACTTTGGGAGGCCAAGGCAGGTGGATCACCTGAGGTCAGGAGTTTGAGACCAGCCTAGCCAATGTGGTGAAACCCTGTCTCTACCAAAAAATATAAAAAATTAGCTGGGCTTGGTGGTGTGCACCTGTAATCCCAGCTACTTGGGAAGCTGAGGCAGGAGAATCGCTTGAACCCAGGAGGTGGAAGCTACAGGTGAATCGCTTGAACCCAGGAGGTGGAGGTGGAGTGACCCAAGATTGTGCCACTGCACTCCAGCCTCGGTGACAGAGTGAGACTCTGTCTCAAATAAATACATTAATTAAAATAAAATAAAATAATTGATTTTTCTGATGAGGAAACTAAGGCAGAGATGAGCTCTTAATCCAGGTCTGCCTCGCTCCAAATCGCATGCTCTTTCAGGTGAGTCATTCTGTGCTCAATGAATGATGGGCAGACACCACTCGTTACTGAAGAAACAGGAACAAACATAGACCTATAAGTGCCAGCCATGTGTGAGAGAAGCAAGCAATGCACTGTGACTAGAACAGGGAAGATGATGAGAATTCTGGCTACAGGTAAGTTTGGGAAAGTCAGCTAGAACTAGACTGTGAAGGGCCTTCTAGTTACTAGCAAGTAACCTAAATTAAAATCCTGTAGGCCAGCAATTTTCAAACTACCCTCTAAGGACAATGCCATACAAGAAGTTCTGCATTTATTTATTTTTTTATATATTGAAGGGGTTTATATAGGCTTTATTTTAAGGGGGAAAAGGAGGTCAATTTCTAAAAATCATACTTAAAGAAGATACACAGTGGCAAATGGAAGGTCATTACAGATATTTTAAAATGAAGTTATCCCATATGTACTTTAGAAAGACAAATATGGTAGCCGTGCAGAGGACAGGTCACCTAAGGAAACAATTTTTGCGCTGAAGACCAGTTAGGAGGCTTCTGAAATAATACAAGATAGAGTTTTTTTAGGGTCTCAATAGACATAGACAGTGGTAGCAGGATAGATTCAAGCATTAAATAGAACTCGGTAACAAATTTTCTGTGGAGAGTAAGATATAAAGAAGAATCAAGAATGATTGAGATTTCTAGTTCGAACAACTGAGTAACAATACCACTGAGAGAGAGAAAAGTGGTAGGAGCAGCAAACTTAGTAGAAAACGACTAGTTGAGTTTTTGTTTTGTTTTGACATGCTGAGTTTGCAGTATCCACAGGACACACAGAAGACATCACAAAGCAGCCGGATCTGTAGACCTGAAGTATCAGAGAGTGGAGGCTGAAGGTATTTGAGCAGAGACCATAATTTTGTCCTTCTATCCCTTCTCTTTTTCTTCTTTGAAGTTATTATACTCACAGTTTTCACAGAGTATGTGACTACTGATTGCCCAGCCTCTCTTGAAGCTACATATGGCCATGTGACTATATCCTCATCGATGTAATTTCAGCACAACTGTTGTGTACAAGTTCTTTACCACTTCCTCAGGAGGGAAGTCTTGACCTTCGTTTCCTGGATATTGGAACACAGACATGGTGCTGCTAAACTACTCCGGATTTTGTAGATAAGGATAACACATTAGGGAATGGTGGAGCAACAAGAGAGATGAAAACTGAGTTCTTTGATGACCTCATGGGCAAAACGACCCATCTACCTCTTTGTTACAGCAGCTTAGCCTCACTCTGACTGATGCAGGGATCATCAACATATATTGAAACATGAGGATGAATGAGATTACCCAGGAAAAGAAGAAAAGAAACTTAAAGGAGCACAATAATAAATAGCCAATGTCTAAAAGGTGAGCAGAGGCCCTTTGATGAGACTGAAAAGAAGGAAAACCACAGAGACAGGAAGAGATCAAGAGAGAGGAGAGGAGTGTTTCAAAAAGGAAGACCCATTTAGGAATATAAAATGGGGCAGAAGGAAACTAAGATGGAGATTAAAAAGAAGCTAATGAATTTCGTGACTTTGGCCAGAACAATGTCAGTGAAGTAATAGGGTGGACGAATGGCCTATTAAAAGTTAATAGGGTTGGGTGCGGTGGCTCATGTCTGTAATCCTAGCTAGCACTTTGGGAGGCTAAGCAGGGCAGATCGATTGAGCCCAGAGTTGGAGGCCAGCCTGGGCAACGTAGCAAAACCCTGTCTCTACAAAAAGTACAAAAAGTACTTAGCTAGGTGTGGTGGGACGCTTGTAGTCCCAGCTACTTAAGAGGCTGAGGTGGGAGGATCCCTTGAGCCAGAGAGGCTGCAGTGAGCCGTAATTGTGCCACTGCACTCCAGCCTGGGAGACAAAGTGAGACCCTATCTCAAAAAAAAGAAAGAAAGAAAAAAATTTAATAGGAAGGAAAGAAGCAGATTCAGTTAGGAAAGACTACTGTTTCAAGAAGTAAGAAGAAATGGAGAAAAACATATACAGGTTTGCCCAAATTCCTAAGTGTGGGGCAAAGTAAAGCCATGGTAACTCAAAGGAATTAGAAACCAAATAAGAGGATGTATTTACTGTCCTGGATCTGGTTGGGCACGCCCATCAGTCATAACACCAGAAATAAGGAAGGAAGTCAAGGTAAGTTTTGATCCTACCCCAGAACCACCGATGTGAAGACAACATCCCAAGAAAATCACCAACATTTAAAAATAACTTGAGAATCTACATTTCTGTAAACTTTTTTAGTAAATACTTGTACGTTGACAGGTATTTCCAAACTAACATTGGTGGTGCCTCTATTACATGATGGCAATATTAAACCCACACAGACACAAAGGAAGGGAAGTGAATGTCAGTTAATTTCCCAGAAGACACACGATTTCCATCTATCACATCCCTGCAGTTAGAACACTTCCATTCAACTTCCCCAACCCCAGGAGAGGGCTCCACGTACCTGCCCTTAATTAATTGGTTTCTATTCTCACACCTTCCTCTTAGGTCATCATTTTCTGGGATAATTGGTATCTATGAAATCTCACTAGAGTCAGTTTCCTTCTACTAAAAAGAAGCTTAAATTGCAACCTAAGGAAGAAATCTATTCTATATTTAACTAACTTTGTCCCTGTTGTTTAATAACTAGTCCTATTTGCTGCATCCTGAAGTTATATATACAGGGAAAAGTCAAAAAAAAAAACACCTAAGTACATAATGTTCATCAATATTTGAGCCCTAACCTCAGAAAATTGATTATACTGTTGATTACAATTTATTTATTCTAATAATTAGGCAATATATGTTGCATTACTCCACATTCTTTTACTTGCTGGTGAACTTTTATACTCATATTTTAAGTACAGATTTTACCAAAATAAAAAGTTTTGATAAGTGTTTTGCAATTTTGTTAGCATGGTAGGATTTTTATGAACCAATGTCTACTCCTTTCTACAGCTGTACTTCTTATTTAAGTTACGTCGTCACAGTGGGGATACTATCATATAAACCAAGACTGATATAAGAAATTTCTCTCTGAAATATGTTGCTGTGCTTGGTGTAAAGATAAGTTGAATATGTTTTTACGTTATTCCTTATATTACACAGCAAACTCCTTCTGATATCCCATGAGAGGATTTTCTCATTGATTCTGGTTCTAGGAATAGCTATGATTCATGTGAGCAACTGACATCTTAATTTTATGGATACTAAAAATCAAATAACCAATTGCTTTCTTCACTGGCTCCTAGTAACCTTAACACCAAACAATGTCCTCCCCCTACAGATGCATAAAATTTTATGACAAATATTTTTAAGAACTAGGCTCACTCCTAAATCCATTTTACTTTCCAAACCTTGTCTTCCTTTGCCTTAGGTATTTTACCTATTTTGATTTAACTTTCTCCTTGTTCTACATATATTTTTGTGAGTTTCTTAAACTTTAAGTAGAAAAAAGTATACATGGATGGATCAACTGATGGATGATTGAAGTACACACCTGACATTGCTAAAATTTCCATCCTAAGTCACTCATTTGCAAACATTGGCACAGTTCCTGATAAAGGAAAAGCCAGGCCTCATGAGGGGTACAGTTATGGCCCTTGCCTTCAAGAGCTTTACTTTGGGCAGATAAGCGATAACATGTAAGTAATAATGTATGATAAAATATAATCGTTGTCATAAGAAAGGGACAAGGAAGGTGCAAAGAAAGTCTTATCTGGCAAAGATTGCATTGCCACCCTATGCTAAGGGTAGTCCAATCATGAACCCAGGTGAGAAGGCTAAGGCCCTCTTCACACCATTGTCGGGAGCTGTCAGGTGAATCATGTAAGTTATTAAGTACCATTCTCGACCACTTTACCTTCTCAAAATAGGGAAATGGTGAATACAGCTTTTTAAGATATATTTCAGTCCTGTGAGTCTGACATACTATTCACAATAGTAAATTTTTCCACACATCTTGAAAAACATTCAAAGGATTATCTTACTTTTTCCAGAACAATTTTGTGTTGTCTAGCACAAAATTGTTGTATGCATATAATATTATTCTAAATACTTATTTACAGAACCAAGGTTTTTGTAGCATTAGGTTTTGAGAGTCAATTGCTTTAAAGTCCAAAAAAACCTAAGTTCTGCATAGGTAGAAGGAAGATTAAACAGGAGAGCTGTCATTTAGAAGATATTTAGAATCAGCTCCAATATGCCTTTTGTATTTATTTTTTCAGGGTAACGTAGTTAAGTTTTAGAACGAAAAACTATAATACATTAAGGACAACATTTCTCAAACATAATACATTGGTATTCCTTGAGGTGATCCATAAGCATTCTAAAAAAGAGAGAAAAAGAAAAAAAATTTTCATTTTTTGGGAAATTCATTCATTTTGGGAAAAATTGCATTTTTTCCCAAGTGCAAAAACGCACTTGGGAATCACAGACAATAGAATTCTCAGTACCTTTTCCATATGCTAATGTGTATTAAAGATGAAGGTGGGTGGAATGGCACATGCAATGTTTTGTTTTTTAATCTTATCTAAATCAGAACACTTTTTAACATAGAACACCTCCTAACATTGCTGGGCCACTAGAGTTTCTGTTTGGAAAATGTTGTTCTCGCAGCCTCTTCATACCACTGTTGAGAGTTCTCAGATAAATCAAATGTGAGATCTTAATGGAGCTTTGGGTACTTGGGATGAAAACAGAAAAAAAGAGTTGAGGAAGAAGTGCTAATTTAATATAAATTTCTAGTACACAAAATCTTTTAGCAAATCTGAGTTGTACATCTCCGTGAAGGCTAAATAACACCAACTCCTCAAACATGTCCATCACCTAATCCCTGGAACCCTTAAATGTCATTTTATACGGCAAACGGGACTTTGCATGTGTGATTAAATTAAGGATTTTGAGTTGGGGAGGTTATCCTGGATTGTCCAGGTGGACCCAATGTAATACAAGGCTCCTTATATGAGAAAGGAAAGAGAGTCAAAGAGGAAGAAGGTGATGTGACAACAGAACCAGAGGTTGGAGTGGTGTGCTTTGAAGACGGTTGTCCCCAGGCAACTAGAGGAAAAGGAAAGAAAACAGATTCTCCCTAGAGCCTTCAGAGAGCCCACAGCCCTGCGGGCACCTCGCTTTCAGCCCTAGTGAAACCCATTTGGGACTTCTGATCTCTAATTGTAAGATAATAAATGTCTTTTGTCTTAAATAGAGCTTTGTTACAGCAGCAACAAGAAACTAATATAATTGCTTAATAGATTAAGGCAGCGGTCCCCAGTCCCCAGTCTGCGGCCCAACAGGAAGCGGGCCGCACAGCAGGAGCTGAGCGGCCAGTGGGCCAGCGAGCTTTAGGCCTGAGCTCCACCTCCTGTCAGATCAGTGGTGGCATTAGATTCTCATAGGAGCACGAACCCTATTGTGAACTGCACATGCAAGGGATCTAAGTTACGGGCTTCTTATGAAAATCTCTAACTAATGCCTGATGATCTGTGGTGGAACAATTTCATCCTGAAGCCATTCTTCGCCCCCAAGTCCATGCAAAAATTGTCTTCCATGAAACCCGTCCCTCGTGCCAAAAAGGTTGGGGACCACTGGATTAAGGTAAAGGAATAACTCTTACGAATCATTACTCTATTTTTCAGAGATTTAAACTATTGCTTTCTTCAGTGGGAATGTTATTTTAAGAGAAGCACCAGATATTTGTCAACATTGAAAATAATTTGGGCCGGGCGTGGTAGCTCACGCCTGTAATCCCAGCACTTTGGGAGGCTGAGGTGGGCGGATCACCTGAGGTCAGGATTTCGAGACAAGACTGGCCAACATGGTGAAACCCCCATCTCTACTAAAATACAAAAATTAGCCAGGTGTGGTTGTGGGCGCCTGTAATTCCAGCTACTGGGGAGGCTGAGGCAGGAGAATCACTTGAACCTGGGAGGCAGAGGTTGCAGTGAGCTGAGATCATATCACTGCACTCCAGCCTGGACAACAGAGCAAGAGGCTCCATCTCAAAAAAAAAAGAAAAGAAAAAGAAAATAATTTTGGGTGAAGATCATTCACCTCTTCAAAGACGTCTTCTTCTATTGGATTTGTTTAATAAGAAGCACATATTATTTTTAATGGGAAAATAATTACTTTAAATTAATAAAAATAATTTGTTTTTGGATTTTCAGTGGGGTCAACAGTCATTTCTGTGAGAACTTCATGTATCTGTCCATAGCTAGAAGTAACTTTGCCCTGTGGTAGGGCTACAAGTGCGGACACAGCTAGGCGAGGGTGTTTGTTGAATGGAAGAGTAAGAGTTTATGGAGCAAACCTATACCTAAGAATGATTCGGTCAGTAAGATAATGTTTTGTGGGTTTAATTCTCCAAACAAGGAAGCCAGGATAAAGCCCAATTTGTCAGGCCATTTGGGCATAATTTCCAAGAAATGGCAGCCTCTCACTCTTCATTCTACAGAATAAGAGAGAACCATCTCACAGTCCACAGTTTTCCTTCTGATTCAATGCACCTTCAGATCTGTTTGCATGCCAGATGTCTATCATCAGCTCAATATGTAATAATGTTACATAGCTCCTGAAAAAGAACTCAGGTCAAATAACTCTCCCTGTTGGAAGCTCAGACTTGCCTCAAATGTATTTTCCCTTGTTAACATTTTTTCAACTTTTTATTAATGACCCATATTTACTGAACGTATAACATGAAAGCCTTCAGACACCCAATCTGCAATTAAAATTTTAAAAAAGAAACTGAAAAGTTGTTCAGCCTTCTAAATATGCACTGTGCGTTTTCTTGTATCACACACTTGCTTAAAGACTAAGATATTGTGGCTTTGTCTCTAAAAATAGTGCATCCAGTCTTCAGGCAGTGAAGGACCAGATCTGCTGTAAAGGGGCTTTTCATATGCATCTAGATTACAAGGTAACAGCAAAGGGAAGGGTGTAATTTCTTCTCTAAAACAGAAGAAACCAGCCCTGAAGGCATTTAAGAAGGCAGTTGTCAGGACTTCCAGAAGTGTTCCTTGTGGGGAAGGGAAAGTATTATTTTGGTGAAAAGCTGAAAGATATGGATACTCAAGTATATAACAGCAGGAAAGATGTGAGTTTAAACCCCCACTGTACTTTCTGCATTTTAAATGATGATGCTTCTAAGAGGCAGCTGAATGAGCTTACATTCTGCATCACACTCCCTGGGTTGGAATCCTGGCTTATACTGTGTGACTTTGAGCAAATTACTTAACTTCTCTGTTTCCTTATCTGTAAAATGAGGATGATGCTACTAGACTCACCTCATAGGATTATTATTAGGATTAATTAATTTATGCAAAGTGCTTTGCACAGCACTTAGGCATATAAGACATTGTATATGTGTTAACTCTTATTGTTTTATCTTTGCATTTTTCCGTCCCTAAATGAATCCTAATTGTATTAGCTGTCAGCTATATTCTTCCTCTTTGGACACCCCAGGGGCTACATTATGGACCCTCTGGGTATATAAGCCTGTGGCCCTTATCCCCGCATCCAGCACTCCCAACCTAACCCAGAATCTGCCCCTTGATCCAGAACTGATTTTCTGGAGGACAGAATTTGCACCATTCTAGAATTTACAGTAGCACTTCAGCCTGCCACCTCCAGAGGAACCTTCAAGCCAGGCAAATTGTTCCCCTTCTGAGGAAACTCCCAGAAATATCAAAGCTGAATGGAAGCTCTCTCTGAGGAATGTGCTGTATCACTGTATCTCCCTATTAACTACCTCACTCCTACCATGTCCTGGGCCAGTGCATAAGAGTCATCAGATGAAAATACAGATTCCTAAGTCCATCCCAAGATTCTGATTCAGTAGCTGAATATGCAGTTGATCTACAAACCACACTGGGAAACCCTGTTAATTCAAGCAGAGATGTTTGATCTAAAGCCTGCTGTTAGAGGAAGGACAAGGACCAGGACCATGTCCTATACATCTTTGTACCTCCAGCACATAGCACAAGACCTAGCATATAGTAATTGCTTAATAAATTATTATCAAATGAATCACAATTATTATCGAATGAATGGAAACAATAGGCCATAGCTCAACATACAGAAGAGTACAAACCTGGCCAAGAAAGATTACAAATAGGCATTTTTAAGAGGTTTTTCCCTGAAGGAAAAATATGGTACAAAGAATGTGCAAGGCAAAATTTCAACTGTTGCATATAATTCTCTTTAAAGTCATCCTTCAATCAAAAAATCTCTATACCCAGGATAAAGAGCAGACATGGATCATTATTGCCTTAAAGCTGGTCATTGACATCTGAACTGACATATCATGGATTAATTGTAAAACAATTGAAAAAATAAGCCGCTTCCTTGTTCTTTGATGTTTTCCCTTTACTTTACACTTCACCTTTTATTTGAGAAGCAGTGCCATTTTGTGATAGTTTTTGATGCTCCAAATCTGAATTAATACACAGAATGGCATTCATTTTATCCAAACCACACCTTAATACATTAGGAAAACCATTCGAATTTGTCAAAATATTTGGTATCATCTACTCTTTAAAGACTCAGCACATATTCATAATAACCTTACATCAAAATAGAAGGAATGCACTAGAATGACCAAAAATGGCTCTTGTTTTCCAGGCTGTCACTAAAATATGTGTATGCTCCATCAGCAGATTTCATTGAAAAAAAAAAGCCTGATCCTGAGCATCAGGGAGCCAATTGTTCTTTTCCAGTTTACAGTGCTGATACTATATTATCTTCAGCACACATTTTCAAATCACTTAACCTTTCTGCCTTCTGTATATTTTAAAACTGGGACCTGTGAATGAAAGTACAGTATGTGTCAGCTATTACCTAGAAACATAGGAAAAAGAAATGAGGTAATGCTGAGAAAGGCTAGCTCTATCCATCACATGGACAAAGTGTTACCAAACGAGGGGTGCAAAATGTCTTCATGGACAGATGGTGCTTCTGAGAATGGAAAGATTACAAAAGGAGGGGAGAAAGGAACAGAAGAGAAGATGCCAGAAGTCCACAGAGGAAAGAGGAAAAATTGGCCATTATTTGATAGGGGAAAGTTGAAGACTAAAGCTAAGGCCTAAGATGTTACAAAGATGAAGAACCTATGAGAAAGTGAAATACCAAAGGCACAGGAGAAACGGTAGTATTGTGAGTTACTAGAAAAGATAATTTAGCATATCACCCAGGCTGGAGTGCAGTGGCACAATCTCGACTCACGGCAACCTCTGCCTCCCAGGTTCAAGCTATTCTCCTGCCTCAGCCTCCCGAGTAGCTGGGATTACAGGCATGCGCCACCATGCCTGGCTAATTTTTTGTATTTTTATTAGAGACAGGGTTTCACCATGTTGGCCAGGCTGGTCTTGAACTCCTGACCTCAGGTGATCCACTCACCTTGGCCTCCCAAAGTGCTGGGATTACAGGCATGAGCCATGCGCCCAGCCTATTAGGATAACTTTCTAATCCTAACAATGAACTGGAAACCAAGGATGAGGTAGGAAGTCCAAGAGAGAGAAGGAGAGGAACATTCACTCTAGTTCCACAACTCAGGGTTAAATGAAGTGCTGTTTGCATTCCATCTGAGCCTTTCCAGATTGGGACTGCCTGAAAAGCAGGCATTTCCCAGTATGCAGCAGGGCCTCTGTATTAGTCCATTCTCACACTGCTGTAAAGATACTACCCGAGGCTGGATAATTTATAAATAAAAAAGGTTTAATTGACTCACAGTTCTGCATGGCTGGGGAGGCCTCAGGGAACTTACAATCATGGCAGAAGGGGAAGGGGAAGCAGGCACTTTCTTCACAAGGTGGCAGGAAAGAGAGAGAGAATGAGGAAGTGCCACACTTTAAAACCATCAGCTCTCATGAGAACTCACTCACTATTATAAGAACAGCACAGGGGAAACTGCCCCCATGATCCACCTCCCACCATGTCCCTCCCTCAACATGTGGGGACTACAATTCAAGATGAGATTTGGGTGGGGACACAGAGCCAAACCATATCATTCTACCCCTGGATCCTCCCAAATCTCATGTCATTTTCACATTTTGAAACCAATCATGCCTTCCCAATAGTCCCCCAAAGTCTTAACTCATCCCAGCATTAACTCAAAAGTCTAAGTGCAAAGTCTAATCTGAGACAAGGCAAGTCCCTTCTGCCTATGAGCCTGTAAAATCAAAAGCAAGTTATTTCCAAGATACAATGAGGTACAGGCATTGGGTAAATGTTCCCATTCCAAATGGGATAAATTGGCCAAAACAAAGGGGCCACAGGACCCATGCAAATCCAAAACCCAGCCAGGTGGTCATTAAACCTTAAAGCTCCAAAATAACCTCCTTTAACTCCATGTCTCACATCCAGGGAATGCTGATGCAAGGGGTGGGCTTCCAAGGCCATGGGCAGCTCCACTCCTGTGGCTCTGCAGGGTACAGCCCCTGAGGCTGCTTTCATGGGCTGATATTGAGTGCCTGCACTTTTCCAGGCACACAGTGCAAGCTGTTGGTGGATCTACCATTCTTGGGTCTGGAGGATGGTGGCCCTCTTCTCACAGCTTCACTAGGCAGAGCTCCAGTGGGGACTGTGTGTGAGGTCTCCAAACCCACATTTCCCTTCTGCATTGCCCCAGCAGAGGTTCGCCATGAGGGCTCCATCCCTGCAGCTGCAGCAGACTTTCATGTGGACTTCCAGGCATTTCCATACATCCTCTGAAATCTAGGCAGAGCTTCCCATACCTCAACACTTGCCTCTGTGTACCCACAGGCCCAACACCACATGGACGTTGCCAAGGTTTGGGGCTTACACCCTCTGAAGCAACAGACTGAGCTGTACATGGGCCCCCTTTTAGCCACAGCTGGAACTGGAGCTGCTGGGATGCAGGGTGCCCTGTCCCAAGGCTGCACAGAGCAGAGCAGCCTTGGACCTGGCCCATGAAACCATTTTATCCTCCTAGACCTCTGCACCTGTGATGGGAGGGGCTGCCTTGAAGACCTCTGGCATGCCTTGGAGACATTTTCCCTATTTTCTTGGTGATTAACATTTGGCTCCTTGTTACTTATGCAAATTTATGCATCTGGCTTGAATTTCTCCCCAGAAAATGGGTTTTTCTTTTCTACCATATGGTCAGGCAACAAATTTTCCAAACTTTTATGCTCTGTTTCCCTTTTAAACATAAGTTCCAATTTCAAGTCATCTTTTTGTGAGCACATATCACTGTGCACTTTCAGGAAAAACCAGGTCACCTCTTGAATGGTTTGCTGCTTAGAAATGTCTTCTGCCAGATACCCTAAATCATCTCTCTCAAGTTCAAAGTTTCACACATCTTCAGTGCAGGGGCAAAATGCCACCAGTCTCTTTGCTAAAGCATGGCAAGAGTGACCTTTACTCCAGTTCCCAATAAGTTCCTCATCTCCATATGAGACCACCTCAGCCTGGACTTCATTGTCCATATCACTATCAGCATTTTGGTCAAAACCATTCAACAAGTCTCTAGGAAGTTCCAAACTTTCCTTCATCTCCCTGTCTTCTTCTGAGCCCTCAAAACTCTTTCAAACTCTACCTGTTACCCAGTTCCAAAGTCACATCCACATTTTCAGGTTATCATTATAGCAGTGCCCCACTACCTTGGTACCAATTCTCTTTATTAGTCCTTTCTCACACTGCTATAAAGATACTACCTGAGACTGGGTAATTTATAAATAAAAGAGGTTCTGTATGGCTGGGGAAGCCTCAGGAAACTTACAATCATGGCAGAAGGGGAAGCAAGGCACCTTCTTCACAAGGTGGCAGGAGGGAGAGAGAGCGAGGAAGTGCCACACTTTAAAACCATCAGCTCTCATGAGAACTCACAAACTATCATGAGAACAGCATGGAGGAAACTGCCCCCATGATCCAATTACCTCTCATCAGGTCCCTCCTTCAACACATGGGGATTATAATTTGAGATGAGATTTGGGTAGGGACACAAAGCCAAACCATATCAGCCTCCCAGGATAGAAAGCTGTGACCCAGCAATTCCAGATAAGTCTCCATAAAGGCCAACAGAATGACCCTTCACAGCAAAAACCTCAGGGCACCTAAGGTCTATTTATTTATTACTCCTGAAAACAGCCTAGGGAAAAAAAGTAATATTCATTACTACTAAGATTGGGGAAAAATTAAGAAATGGAGAAAAGTGGCACTATTTATTGAACATCTATTTGCTAAGCCCTATCCAACAGAATTTGCATGTGCTATTCCATCTATTCCTCAAATTTTAGCAGAAAGTTCATTTTAATGAGCACTTACTCTATGCTAGGAACTTTACCAAGCATTTTGATAGTTTTTTAATTTAATCCTTAAAACCATCCAGAAATTGGTTATTATTCTCAGTATATGAATTAAGAAAATGAGGCTTAGAACTAATAAATTGAAGGAAAGAAAAAAGAAAGGATAATTTTCCCCATCATCATATGATAAATAAGTAACCAACCAAGGGTTAAAATACAGGTCTGGCCTCTTATATTTATACTAAATTCATACACACAGAGTGAAAAAGTCTGATAATTATTTTTCCATTAAAATATAACTATAAAATTATATAGTTTACTATTCATTATAAATGCATAAGTATATGAGAAAATACAGTTGGAAAAAATATAAACAAACCAAAAAGAGCAAATACTTTAAATAATAGATGACCAATTAAATTATAGTAGAATAAAATGCTATGTGGTTGTTAAAAAGAATAAGCCAACTGTATACTTTGGTTTATCAAAAAGTCATGAGGGAAACTTCTTTGTAGAACAATTCCAAGTAATAAGTATAAACAGAATGTAAGAATTTAAAAATCGTTTTGTAATCCCTAATGGAATAATGGACTCAGTCATTAATAATCACTGCATGCCAAAAACATCAAGTGAAATGTCGATGGTAGATGAGGCTGACACCACCCAAATCCTCTCCTAAATCTTAGTATCACTCAAAGTGAAACATGAGAAATATGGGTTTCCTGAGATGATACAGCAGGAAGAGCAGAGCAAGCACCCCCTATGAAGGAGTCTTGGCAAATATACTGAACCTAAATCTAATCAAGACTCAAATATAAGGGATAGAGGAACAAGTTGAACCACACCTGGAGGAAACGACCAGTCAAATCCAGAAGGTGGGGCCTTCTACAGAATAGATGAGCCAGTTTCTCAAAGAAACAAGTGTCTGTTTTTTAAAGATCTGATTTTTTAAAATATCTGATTATTAAAGATCAAGAAAGACCTAAGACATGCCATATGTGGACCTAATTTGACTCTTAAACAATCCAACTGCAAAAAGACATTTTTGAGAAAATCAGAGCAATTGGAAAATGGACTGGATATTGGATTATACTAAGAATTACTGTTAATTTTCTGAGATATGATAATGGCTTTGTAGTGTTTTTTTAAGTCCTTATAATATTAGAAAAACATACAGAAGTATTTATGGATGAAATTACATAATATCTAGGATTCATTTTTAAATACTTCCAAAAAAGGGGGAGAGCTATAGATAGAACCAGATTGGCAAATATATTTCTTATTATAGAAATTTTCTAACATATACAAGAGCAGAGAAAATGATATAATGAATCTGCATGCACTTAACTTCAACATTTTGCCAATCTTGGTTCAAGCTATTCCTTCCACGCATACTTTTTTCTTCTGATATATTTTAAAGTAAATCTCAAACGTCAGAGAACATATCATTTCAGTCATAAATATTTCAAGATGCTTCTCTAAGAACATTTTTTAAATATAACCACCAAACCACTATCTCACCTAACAAAGTTAATAATTTTTAATATCATCTAATACATAGTAAGAATGTCAAAATATTGATATATGCATTGAACTGGGTAATGGCTACCTGGGGGTCCATTATACGTTCTAGTTGTGTGTATGTCTGAACTTTTTCATAATAAAACATTTCTTTAAAGCATAAGGCAACTTTGTATGTACTGACAGAGAATAATCTTCAAGACATGTTAAATGAAAAAAGGCACAGAATAGCATATGTAGTATGTTACAATTTGTGTTTTAAAAGTTATATCTATGTATATATAGTCATACAATATACTCGGAAGGCACACATGGAATTAAAAACAGCAGTTGTCTCTGAGGAGGAGAACTGGAGCACCAGGGATAAAGAAAGACTTATTTATCCTTTTGAACCTTTTGAATTTGGGACAGTCTATTATGTATTTTAAAACATAAATCATTCCGGCCGAGTGCGGTGGCTCACGCCTGTAATCCCAGCACTTTGGAAGGCCGAGGCGGGCGGATCACGAGGTCAGGAGATCGAGACCATCCTGGCTAACATGGTGAAACCCCGTCTCTACTAAAAATACAAAAAATTAGCCAGGCGTGGTGTCGGGCGCCTGTGGTCCCAGGTACTGGGGAGGCTGAGCAAGGAGAATGGCGTGAACCCGGGAGGCGGAGCTTGCAGTGAGCAGAGATGGCGCCACTGCACTCCAGCCTGGGGGACAGAGCGAGACTCCCTCTCAAAAAAAAAAAAATACATAAATCATTCATAAATTAAAAGAAAAAATATATAGGCACCTAGGTGCATCACGTATCATCAAAACTAATCATTAAGTGTAAATGAGAGTAGTCACTGCTTAAACTACTCTAATTTTGACCTATCAGATTTATCTTGCAAAAATTGCCCTGACATCTCTAAAATCAGATATCTCCAGCCAGCTGTCTGTTCAATCCAATATTCTAGCGGTCTAGATTTTAGAGCTACTATGGTCTAAAGATTGGCATTTCAGCGTATTATTTCCTCCCCTTACCCACTACCTCATGTTTGGCTTATTCTGTTTAAAACTTTTTATAATTCTGTATTCCAAGGCTTTCTTCAGTAGAACTTCTAAGGAATTTCCTTCACTATCAGAACAACCAAGCCTCTTTCTGCTTCTCTTGTGGTTCAAACTGAAAGTAAGACCACCTTTCAAACTGTCCCATGTCCAAACGAAGCTAGTCTTCCCATCCAGCTGCTACAGATCACTTTCTGTCCTTCCAACCTACTTGTACTAGCTCCATGTCCTAACATATAGTATGCTACCTACTATCTGTCTTTAGGTGGACTTGTCTCTTTCCAACTTAAATTTCAAACAATTTAATCAGATGAGTGCTTAAACACAAGTATACAGTTGTCTCTTTACAACAATTTAGATTTAACTGAAGCAGAATATTGGAGGTTATAAAGCAAGAATATATATCCTTTTAAAATATTTTTCTAAATTTCTCCTTTTCAATCCCAAATGGAAAAATGAAGCAATAGTGCATAACAGTAGAAGACCATGGAATGTTATTCTCTGTGTGAAATTTTAGAGCAACAATTATTTTTAGTAACATCTGGGCCAAATGTTCTTACAGGACTTAGTTTATTCTGAAATTGAATATCATACAATATCAGGATGAGGCATTTACAATTCTGCAGCACTACTCTACAAATAACTTTACAATTTGAATGGCTCTGCTTTTATCCATATCAACAAAATTTTAGTAAGCACAGAGTATACAATATGAAGAAACAATAGTCTTTCCTGGGCAAAATAAAATAATTTTGTGACTGTAAAATGATGCAAAATCTATTTTTTTCTTCCAAATTTTATTTTAGGTTCAGGGGTACATATACAGGTTTGGTATATAAGTAAATTACACCCTACAGGCCCGGTACTGTGGCTCATGCCTGTAATGACAGCACTTTGGAAGGCCAAGGGAGGCGGATCACTTGAGGCCAGGATTTAGAACCCAGCCTGGTTAACAGGGTGAAACCCTGTCTCTACTAAAAATACAGAAATTAGCCTGGTGTTGGTGGCTCACGCCTGTAGTCCTAACCACTCAAGAGGCTGAGGCAGGACAATTGCTTGAACATGGGAGTCAGAGGTTGCAGTGGCCTGAGATTGTAGCACTGCGCTCCAGCCTGCGCGACATAATGAGACCATCTTGTGTCCGGAATTGGTGGGTTCTTGGTCTCGCTGACTTCAAGAATGAAGCCATGGACGCTTGCAGTGAGTGTTACAGTTCTTAAAGATGGTGCGTCTGGAGTTTTTTCCTTCAGATGTTCAGATGTGTCCAGAGTTTCTTCCTTCTGGTGGGTTTGGGGTCTCGCTGGCCTCAGGAGTGAAGCTGCAAACCTTCACAATGAGTGTTACAGTTCATAAAGGTGGCACGTCCGGAATTGTTCATTCCTCCCAGTGAGTTCGTGGTCTCGCTGGCTTCAGGAGTGAAGCTGCAGACCTTCACAGTGACTGTTACAGCTTATAAAGGTGGCGTGGACCCAAAGACTGAGCATCAGCAAGATTTATTGTGAAGAGCGAAAAAACAAAGCTTCCACAGCATGAAAGAGGACCCGAGGAGTGCTGGCTCCAGCAGCCTGCTTTTATTCCCTCATGTGACCCCACCCACATCCTGCTGATTGGTCCATTTTACAGGGCTGATTGGCCCATTTTACAGAGAGTTGATTGGTCCGTTTTGACAGGGTGCTGATTGGTGTATTTACAAACCTTGAGCTAGACACAGGGTGCTGATTGGTGTGTTTACAAACCTTGAGCTACACACAAGGTGCTGATTGGTGCATTTACAATCCTTTAGCTAGACACAAAAGTTCTCCAAGTCCCCACTAGATTAGCTAGACACAGAGCACTGATTGGTGCGTTTACAAACCTTGAGCTAGACACAGAGTGCTGATTGGTGCATTTACAATCCTTTAGCTAGGCATAAAAGTTCTCCATGTCCCCACCCGACTCAGGAGCCCAGCTTGCTTCGCCTAGTGGATCCTGCACCAGGGCCGTGGGCAGAGCTGCCTGCCAGTCCCACGCCGCGTGCCCGCACTCCTCAGCCCTTGGGCAGTCGATGGGACTGGGCGCTGCAGAGTAGGGGGCAGCACCCATTGGGGAGTCTCTGGCCACGCGGGAGCCCATGGAGGGGGTGGGGGCTCAGGCATGGTGGGCTGCAGGTCCCGAGCCCTGCCCTATGGTGAGATGGCTGAGGCCCAGGGAGAATTCAAGCGAGGCACAGGTGGGCCAGCAGTGCTGGGGGACCCGGGGCACCCTCCGCAGCTGCTGGCCCGGGTGCTAAGCCCCTCACTGCCTGGGGCTGGTGGCTCCAGCCAGCCGTTCTGAGTGCAGGGCCCACCAAGCCCGTGCCCACCTGGAACCCGTGCTGGCCTGCGAGTGCCATGCACAGCCCCGGTTCCTGCCCACGCCTCTCCCTCCACACCTCCCTGCAAGCAGAGGGAGCTGGCTTTGGCCTTGGCCAGCCCAGAGAGGGGCTCCCACAGTGCAGCTGCGGGCTGAAGGGCTCCTCAAGCGCAGCCAGAGTGGATGCCGTAGCCTGAGGAGGTGCCGAGAGCGAGCAAGGGCTGTTAGCACGTTGTCACCTCTCAGTCTCAAAAAAAAATAATAATAATAATTGCATGTTACAGGGGTTTGGTGTATAGATTATTTTGTTACCCAGGTAATAACCATAGTAACCGATAAGTACCAATCTTCACTCTCCTCCCACACTCCACCTTTAAGTAGGCCCCAGTGTCTAATGTTCCCTTCTTTATGTCCATGTGTATTTGTACTCCATGTTTAGCTTCCACCTATAAATGAGAACATCTGGTATTTTGTTTCCTGTTACTGTGTTAATTTGCTTAGGATAATGGCCTCCGGCTCCATCTATATTGCTACAAAGGACATGATCTCATTCATTTTAATGACTGTAGTATTCCATGTTGTGTATGTACCACATTTTATTTACCCAGTCCACTGTTGATGGGCTTTTAGGTTGATTCCATGTCTTTGCTGTTGTGAGTAGTGCTGCAATGAACATATGTGTGCATATGACTTTATGGTAGAACAATTTATGTTTCTTTTGTTATACACTCAGTGATGAGACGCTGTGTCAAAGGGTAGCTCTCTTTTAAGTTCTTTGAGAAATCTTCAAACTGCTTTCCATAGTGGCTGACCTAGTTTACATTCCCACCAGCAGTGGATAAGTGTTCACTTTTCTCCGCAACCTCGCCAGCATCTGTTATTTTTTGACTTTTTTTTTATTTTTTATTTTTATTTTTTTGAGACGGAGTCTTACTCTGTTATCCAGGCTAGAGTGCAGTGGCGCGATCTCCACTCACTGCAAGCTCCACCACCCGGGTTCACGCCATTCTCCCGCCTCAGCCTCCCAAGTAGCTGGGACTACAGGTACCCACCACCACGCCCAGCTAATTTTGCTTTTCTATTGTTAGTACAGACGGGGTTTCACCATGTTAGCCAGGATGGTCTCCATCTCCTGACCTTGTGATCTGCCAGCCTCAGCCTCCCAAAGTGCTGGGATTACAGGTGTGAGTCACCATGCCCAGCACTGACTTTTTAATAATAGCCCTTCTAACTAGTGTGAGATGGTATCTCATTGTGGTTTTGATTTGCATATCTCTAATGATTAGTTTTGAGAATTTTTTTCATATGCCTGTTGGCCGCCTGTGTGTCTTCTTTTGAGAAGTGTCTCTCCATGTCTTTGCCCTTCCTTTTTTTTTTTTTTTTTTTGTAGAGATGGGCTCATACTATGTTGCCCAGGCTAGTCTAACTCCTGGTCTCAAAGCAATCCTTCTGCCTTCGCCTCCCAAAGTGCTGGGATTATAGGCATGAGCCACTGCACTAGGCCTGAGGATACGATAAATATAATTGTAAATATATATGTACCCAACACTGGAACACTCAGATATAAAGGGAGAAATAGACTCTAATACAGTAATAGTTGAGGACTTAAACACTCTACTCTCAGCATTAGACAGATTATCTAGACATAAAACCAACAAACAAACATTGGATTTAAACTGCATTTTATTCATTCATTCATTCATTCACTCATTCATTTATATTTTTGAGACAGAGTCCTGCTCTGTCACCCAGGCTGGAATGCAGTGGCATCATCTCAGCTCACTGAAACCTCTGCCTCCTGGGTTCAAGCGATTCTTATGCCTCAGCTCCACAAATAGCTGGGATTACAGGCGCCACCACGCCCGGCTAATTTTTGTTTTGCTTTTAGTAGAGACAGGGTTTCACCACATTGGCCAGCCTGTTCTCAAACTCCTGGCCTCAAGTGATCCACCCGACTCCATCTCCCAAAGAGCTAGAATTACAGGTGTGAACCACCACACCCAGCCTCCTTTGCCCATTTTTAAATAGGGTTGTTTGTTTTTTGCTTTAAGTGCCTTATAGATTCCGGATATTAGACGTTTGCTGGATACATAGACTTTTGCTGGATACATAGTTTGCAAACCTCCATTCTGGAGGTTGTCTGTTTACTCTGTTAATAGTTTCCTTGGCTGTGCAAAGGTTATTTACTTTAATTAGGTCCCATTTGTCAATTTTTTGTTTTGTTGCAATTGCTTTTGGAATCTTTGTCATGACATCTTTGCCAGAGCCTGTGTCTAGAATTGTACTTCCTATGTGTTCTGCTAGGGGTTTTACAGTTTCAGATTTTATATTTAAGTCCTTAATTCAGCTGGGCGCGGTGGCTCACGCCTGTAATCCCAACACTTTGGGAGTCCGAGGCGGGTGGATCACGAGGTCAGGAATTCAACACCAGCCTGGCCAAGATGGTGAAACCCCCCTCTTTACTAAAAATACAAAAATTAGCTGGACGTGGTGGGGGGTACTTTTAATTCCAGCTACGAGGGAGGCTGAGGCAGAGAATTGCTTGAACCCAGGAGGCGGAGGTTGCAGTGAGCCAAGATTATACCACTGCACTCCAGCCTGGGCGACAGAGCAAGACTCTGTCTCAAAAAAAAAAAAAAAAAAAAGTCCGTAATTCATCTTGAGTTGATTTTTGTATATGGTGAAAGAAAGGAGTCATGTTTCAATCTTCTGCATATGGCTAGCCAGTTATCCCAGCAGTGTTTATTGAATAGGGAATCCTTTCCCCAATGCTTATTTTTGTAGGCTTTGTTGAAGATCAGATGGTTGTAGGTTTGCGACTTTATTTCTGTGTTCTCTAACCTGTTCTATTCGTCTCTGTGTCTGTCTTTGTACCAGTACTATGCTGTTTTGGTTATTGCAGCCTGTGGTATAGTTTGAAGATCAGCAGTGTAATGCCTCCAGCTTTGTTCTTTTTGCTTAGGATTGCTTTGTTTATTCGGCCTCTTTTTTTATTCCTTATGAATTTTAGAATAGCTTTTTCTAGTTCTGTAAAAAATATTATTGTCACTTAGATAGGAATAGTGTTGAATCTGTAAATTGATTTGGGCAGTATGGCCATTTTAACAATATTGATTCTTCCTATCCACGAGCATGAAATGTTTTTCCATTTGTTTGCTCTTTCATATTGGTGATTATGTTCCAGGAATCGAAATTTCAGAACAGTGCAACAATGCTCTTTGTGTCTTCCTTGGCAGTAAATTGCAAGGATCTGGATGGAGAGTAGAGTGGTCCCTTCAGAAGGGCCAGGTATAGAGCTCGAGAATATTTCATCTCCTCTTCCTGTTCCATACAAAATATCAAGTCCCTGAGGCAGATTCTTGTGATTCTTAGATGAAGCAACTGTTTGGTGACTGTCAGGCTGGATGTCCCAGAAGCAAGAAGGTTGTCTTTTAAGCCCTCACTTCCAAGTTCTAGTGGTCTCTTCTTCCTTGGTCCAATAGCTGCAAGAGCTGTGAGATTAGCATCTCTATGCTGTATCTGTTCAAGTTCCAGTTGCTGTAACTCATTGGCTTTCTGCTTTAATCTCAGCTGTTCTGGATCTTCTTTATTACAATGACTCTTGGCTGCCTTAAGTAACATTTCTCTTTCTTCTAAATCCTTTCTCTGCTTCTCCAATTGATCCAGCTTTTCAAGAAATTTGAGGTGTGACCTGGTATCACTACACAGGATGTAATTTTCACTTGCCTTGTAAGTAGTCATTCAATGCTGAGCAATTGCAGTCAGTTTTTCTAGAAGGCTTCATAATTTTTCCTGTGTTGCATGGGTGATCAAGTTCACAGCAACAGTTAAGTTCTGTAATGTCATGCTTTTTACCAATGTCTAAAATTCTCTTTTGTAGAACTCCAATAAAAAGAAATGGTTCATCTTTACATGACTGAATGAGTGTGCCAACCAATTCAGAGTTTGTTGCTAAGACACAGGCATTTTCTTCATTAAGGTTGACCCCTGCCATAGAAGTCACATCATTGATGTCATCTTCATCCCTGAAGCATATTGTTCCATTCTCTTTTACTTTATTTTTTTGAGTAGAAGATGCTTGAAGCAACAGAATTTTATTTCCAGGCAGAGTAATTTGCTTTAGAACAGAAGATGGAAGAAACTGACTGGTAGGTATTATGGTGTTCACTGGCATTGTCTTCTATCCAGATTTCTGAATGGTCAATGCTGAGGAATGTGTAAGTGTGGTCACCCGTTTTTCACTGCCTCCTGAAGCCTGCTGAACTACTAGTTGCTTGACTTTAACTGCCTGTGGAATCCCAGCTGGTTGTGAAAGGACAGGGCCCGGCTGGGCAAGTTTGATTTGCATTGGAGTGCCAATAACAGGCTTGTCAGATGTGGTCCCAGTAGATGTAACAAAAGGTTTCACAGATGGAAGACAAATAGCTGCACCTGAAGATTCTTCAAAAGTTACTGCTGGTAGGGAAAGTGTTACTTCTGTTCCAGGGACAACTGGCTTTTCAGGTTGCAGTGAGACCATTGTCACTGTGTTTGGTACAGATGTCACAAGTGGTTTTCGAAGTCTGAAGCAAAACAGACTACACAACTCTATAGAAATTTATAGTCAAAATAGTAACAACAGGTTATGAGATAGGCCTTAGACTTAGAAAGTCTGGACTGACTGGATTCTCAAATGACAAGTCACACATTTGGGGCAAGTTCATCTTACCATCTGTGAAATGTCCCTAAATAAACGAAGTATTAGTACAGGGTCTTGCATATGGAAAGTGCTCAGCATTTAGCAGTGATGGGATTCAGGACCTGCTACCCCAAAATATGGCACTTTGGCATTTGAGGAAGCAGTAGAAGCAGAAAAGTTACTCGTTGACCTTCTCCCCTGAAGTAAGCCAAAACACAATTCTTTGACCTTCCTGTGAAATAAGTAATTAAGGCTCTCATGGAGAGGTGCCCACCCTATATATGGAGGAAAGGAATGTTCTTATCTCCAAAGGCACAGGGACACAGAGACAAATATGAATACACAGGTCTAGCTAAGTCCCCCAGTTTATTACCATTAGATCACACCTCCTTTGTCCAATCATACTTTTCCACAACTGTCTACTCTTCATCAAACCTAAGCACAAAAATGTACAAATTTACCTGTTTCTTTGGGTCTTCATTTCTGAAGGCTCTTATGTCATGTAAATATATTAATTAAGTGAATTTGGTTTATGATTTTCTCTGGTTAATCTGTCTTTTGTTATAGGTGCCTCAGCCATGAACTTAGCAATGGATGAGGAAAAGAAATCTTTCCTCCCCTACAACAGTTGCTTTTGTAGTATTGGTAGTATTATTGGTAGTATTATCATTACTTGTGATACTTCCTCAAAAACCAGTTTAGTTGGATGAAAAGGACATAAACCAAATCAGATAGGGTTAAGGGATAAGGGATCTAACTATGTCAACAAAATCTGATAATACTGGGTCTTGAATGATGAAATTTTCTTTCCAACTGAGGACAGTGGATAGTCTTTTTCTTTCTTTTTTTAAATTTTTTTTTTATTATCCTTTATGTTCTAGGGTACATGTGCACAACATGCAGGTTTGTTACATATGTATACATGTGCCATGTTGGTGTGCTGCACCCATTAACTTATTATTTACATTAGGTATATCTCCTAATGCTATCCCTCCTCCCTCTCCCCACCCCATGACAGGCCTGGTATGTGATGTTCCCCACCCTGTGTCCAGGTGTTCTCATTGTTCAATTCCCACCTATGAGTGAGAATATGTGATGTTTGGTTTTCTGTCCTTGCAATAGTTTGCTCAGACTGTTGGTTTCCATCTTGATCCATGTACCTACAAAGGACATGAACTCATCATTTTTTATGGCTGCATAATATTCCATGGTGTATATGTGCCACATTTTCTTAAGACAGTGGATAGTATTTTTCTAAATCAATATATACAGAACTGGTTTTTTTACCAAATCATCTTAAAATCTGCATTATAATTACATTTTCTAGTGTGGTTGCCATGCAATAGAATTCCATGGCTTCTTTTCCATGCTCAAAACAAAGAATAAAAATATGCTAAAAGCAGGGTGCAGTGGCTCACACCTATAATCCCAGCACTTTGAGAGGCCGAGGTGGGTAGATCACCTGGTCAGGAATTTGAGACCAGCCTGGCCAGCATGGTGAAACCCCATCTCTACTAAAAATACAAAAATTAGCCAGGTGTGGTGGCGCATGTCTGTAGTCCCAGCTACCTGGGAGGCGAGGCAGGAGAATGGCTTGAACCAGGGAGGCGGAGGTTGCAGTGAGCTGAGATCGCACCACTGCACTCCAGCCTGGGTGACAGAGCAAGACTCCGTCTAAAAAAAAAAAAAAATGCTAAAGGTGGGGTGCAATGGCTCACATCTGTAATCCCAGCACTTTGGAAAGCTAAGGCAGGAGGATTGCTTGAAGCCAGGAGTTCAAGACCAGCCTGGGCAACAGAACAACACACTGTCTCCAGAAAAATAAAACTTAAAAAATTAACTGGTCATGGTTGTAGTCCTGTCACTCTCCTGTAGTCTTGTAATCTTAGTTACCTGGGAGGCTGAGGCTGGAAGATCGCTTGAAGCCAAGAGTTCGAGACTGCAGTAAGCTATGATCACACCACCGCCCTCCAGCCTGGGTGACAGAACAAGACCCTGTCTCCCTCTAGATAGACGGATAGATAGATAGATAGATAGATAGATAGATAGATAGATAGATAGATGCTGAAGACCTACAACACATCCAAGGTCCAAAGACAATAAATGAAAACAATTTTTACAAGGAAACTCTCCATCTAAAGTTTAGGGTATAATTAGGTTTAAAAGATTGTCCTTAAAAAAAAATCGGCATTAATCAAAACAGATCGAAGTATAGAAGCCTAAATCCATGATCAGAAAAATCCATCTATAACTTCCATGGACCCCAAACAGTAATCTCAGATTTCACATTGAATCTGGCTAAGTCACTAGCACAGTAAACAGTAGCATCTGGCTCTCATGTGGGATGGTATATACAATGGGCCAATCCATAACTTTAGTGTACTTTGGACATTTAGATGGATGGGCTGAGAGCCCAGTGTGTTATAATAACCCTGAAAAACTTTTGGCTCTGGCTGTGAACACATTAGCATTAACTTAAATTTGTTGCTTTGTTTACAACAAGAGATATTTGCTTGTGCTTTCTGCCTAAATGGAATCGGTTAAAGGCACCCAAGACCTCAAAGAGTGAAATTTACAATTAGTACAGCAGCTATTCACTTTACTGAACTTTGCATTTTTTTTTTTTTTGCATTTCCTCTTAGTTACATCTTTTGGAAATAAATGATATCTTTATTTGGAGTTTCTGTCTGTTCATACTAGGACCATTAACAACTAATATCCCCTGACTAATTTTTTCTTTCCTCCATAACCTGAAGCTTAAAATAAGTAACCATTTAGAGGGTTCCTTGAAGATGTCACCATTTAGAAATGTCACACATGCAGTCATTTGTTTCTGAGCTAGACAGTGTTGGCTGTTTAGAACAGTGTCCCAATTATTCTTTTTGAAACCACTCAAAGCCACCAGAACTAATTTCTCCCAATATATCACTACAGTTTAATGTCTACAATGAAGAGATACCCTCACTCAACCAGTAGAAACTGACTATTGCATATCCAGGATATAATCAGAGGACCTCTGTATTGAATTTGAGATTTCCAAAAATTGTAATTAAACAACACCCAATCTAATTTTGTGTTTATTGCTTTTACAAATAGCATCAACACAGGTGAATTATCTATGACATTTATTCACATGTGCGTTATTTTAAGCAAATAACGCGGGAGTCTTACCCTTACCAAAATAAGACTGAATAATTAACAGATGGGCATTCTAAAAACATTATGGAACAGCATAATGTTGGATTACCTTTTAAATCTCATTATACTCATAAGCAAGAATTGCAATGTTCTATATATTTGTTCTATCAATGAACAAGTTTTTTTTTTTAAATCTCTTGTGGGTCTAGCATTGATCTCAACAGGGAAAAAATTAATCTGAAATTTTATTTTGAATTAAACATCTTTTAAATCTTTCTTTCTTTGTTTTGTTTTTATTATTTCAGGTTTTTTTTTTTGAGACAGGGTTACACTCTGTCACCCAGGCTGGAGTGCAGGTTGCGATCTTTGCTCACTGCAACCTCCGCCTCCTGGTTTGAAGCCATCCTCCTACCTCACCCCTCCTAGTAGCTGGGGCCACAGGCGCATGCCACCACCCCCAGCTAATTTTTGTAATTTTAGTAGAGACAAGGTTTTGTCATGTTGGTCAAGCTGGTCTCGAACTCCTGACCTCAAGTGATCTGCCCACCTCGGCCTCCCAAAGTGCTGGAATTTACAGGCATGAGCTACTATGCCCAGCCTGAAATGGTTTTTTGTTGTTGTTGTTTTTCTTTTTTTTTTTTTTTGAGACGGAATCTCGCTCTGTCGCCCAGGCTGGAGTGCAGTGGCACGATCTTGGCTCACTGCAACCTCTGCCTCCCAGGTTCAAGAGATTCTCCTGCCTCAGTCTCCTGAGTAACTGGGACTACAGGCACATGCCACCACGCCCGGCTAATTTTTGTTTTTTTTTTTTTTTTTTTTTTTTAGTAGAGACAGGGTTTCACGGTGTTAGCCAGGATGGTCTCAATCTCCTGACCTCGTGATCCTCTCGCCTTGGCTTCCCAAAGTGCTGAGATTACAGACGTAAGCCACCGTGCCCGGCCCCTTAAATGGTTTTTAAATATGTCACCATGAATAGGTTTGTATAAAGAAAGAACATTAGGCGCAGTGGCTCATGCCTGTAATCCCAGCTCTTTGGGAGGCTGAGGCGGGTGGATCGCTTGAGCCCAGGAGTTCAAGACCAGCCTGGGCAACAAGGTGAAACCCTGTGTCTACAAAAAATACAAAAGTTAGCTGGGCGTGGTGGCACACACCTGTGGTCCCAGCTATTTGGTGGGGCTGAGATAGGAGGATGGCTTGAGCCCAGGATGCGGAGGTGGCATTAAGCCAAGATTGCACGAATGTACTCCAGCCTGGGTGACAGACAGACCCTTTCTCAAAAAAAAAAAAAAATCTATGACTCAGAAAACCACCCAAATAGAATGAAGCTTCTAAATGTTCTCGTGGTATGTGATTTGCCATAACTGAACAATAATCCCCCTTATTAATTAGGGTAGAAGACAGCATAGTGGTGCTTGCCTATAATCCCAGTTACTCAAGAGGCTGAGGTGAGAGGATCACTTGAGCCCAAGAGTTCAAGGTTACATGAGCTGTGATCACACCACTGCACTCCAGCCTGGGTGACAGACTGAGACCCAGTCTCAAAAAAAAAATAAAAAAAAAAATTAGGGTAGTCTACATTCTCAGAAAGCCAAGATTAGAAAACTATAACAATCAGGTATTTGAGATCTCATCACATGACCCACAAAGAATATAAATATGCTACTTTCCTAAGAAAACAGAACTTAATTTTCTCTGTAAAGATTTCCCAATCTGAACTAGGTGTGATGGTGCATGCCTGTAATCCCAGCTACTAGGGAAGCTAACACAGTAGGATCATTTGAGCCCAGGAGTTCCAGACCAGCCCTGACAACACAGCAAGACTCCATCTCTACAAAAAACATTTAAGGGGCCGGGCGGGGTGGCTCATGCCTGTAATCCCAGCACTTTGGGAGACCGAGGCGGGCGGATCACCTGAGGTCAGGAGTTCAAGACCAGCCTGACCAACATGGAGAAACCCCGTCTCTACTAAAAATACAAAAAAAATTAGCCAGGCATGGTAGCGCATGCCTGTAATCTCAGCTACTCGGGAGGCTGAGGCAGGAGAATCGCTTGAACCCGGGAAGCGGAGGTTGCGGTGAGCCAAGATCGCGCCATTGCACTCCAGCCTGGGCAACAAGAGTGAAACTCGGTCTCAAAAAAATAAATAAATAAATAAAAATTATCCCGGTATAGCAGCATGCACCTGTAGTCCCAGTCACTCAGGAGTCTAAGGCTGAAGGATTGTTTGAACCCGAGTTTAAGGTTACATGAGCTATGATCATGCCCCTGCACTCCAGCCTGGGCAACAGAGAGAGACCCTATCTCGAAAAACAGAAAAACAAAGGCAAAGCTAGGCACAGTGGCTCATGCCTGTAATCCCAGCTACTTGGGAGGCTAAGGTAGGAGGATTACTTGAGCCCAGGAATTGAGTCCAGCTTGGACAACATAGCAAGAACCTGTCTCTAATTTAAAAACACAAAATTGACTTTCCAATCTATTGCAAGACATTCTTCGGGAAAGACGGTGAAATTACAGTCATTTTACTATGCTAATAATTACACAGCATTTTAAATAAAAAAGAACCAGAAATTGAAAAAAACACCTAATTTTTAAAGAAAATGTTCTCTCCTTAGGTTGCATGATTGCAGAAGGAGCACTGGGCAGTCAGGCAATCTGAGTTCTAGTCCCAACTCTGTCACTCATCAGATGTGTAACTCTGACCAGCTTTACCCTCTGTGAAATATGGCTGAACTATCAGTCCTAATAGGGTCTGGTCCAGTTCTAAGACTGTAACTACAGGTGCCTTCCCTGAAAAGCAGAAATCTGAAGGAGTGTGGATAGCCCTTCTGCATTAAACATAGCTAGCCTAATGTGATGATAAAGACAGGAAGAGGATACAGGACATTAAACATAGTTGTGTGAGTGAGATGGAAAAATGGATAATTTTCTTCCATTTCTTTTCACATTACTGTGTTAAAGAAAAGGAATTCTAAAACCCCCATAAATGGGTATCTTCACCCTGAGAAGCAGGAAATGTGTGTCTGCAGAGAAATCAGGCCTCTTCAGTTTTGTGACCGAGGAATCCATGTGCCCAAGGATGAGCATCGTTTTATCACACTCCCCTTCAGAGAGTTTTAGGCATGTGGCCAAAAAAGGGGGTGTGGTCTAGGCAGAGACGGAGGGCCAGATCAGGAAGACTACCTCTGAATTCCTCACACCGTGCTCGTCTACAAGAAATGGCTAACAAAATTACAAGCAGTGATGCAGACCCTTTCCAAGATGAATATAGCTTCACTCAACAATATGGAAGGAGGAGAAAGTAGGGTGGGGTGGGAGGATCTTCCATTTCTCTATGTCTTCATTTTATATGGCTTGTACCTGTAACATACAGGGTTCAAAAGATGAATTAGAACTGTCTCTGTGCTAGTGTTTATGCAGTTCAGTGGAATAGAATGGGAGGGGAATCATCCATGTTCACAACACTGGGTGGGGCATGCTCTCTTCTGTTGTTTGTTGTTCTGTGACTTAAACCATATACTGCAAAAGGCTAAAAAAAAAGGACAAAACTCATCTAAGCATATTTTCTTTGCATTCATACCATCATCTTTCTCACCCAAAAGTTTCTTCAATGCCTAAGTGTTTCTGGAATCAGTGTTTGGCCCCAAAGTCTCTGGTTTGTGCAGAGATTCATAGAAAAGACTAGGTTCTCTTCCTTTAAAAAATAAAGATTTTCCAATGCTTAAAGACATAGCCTAATTATTTGCCTATTATCCCTCAAGGGGACACCATACACCTTGACCTAGAACTCTATCAAGTGTTCACAGAAAAGTGCCAGGGCAAATAAACAATCTGTTCTTCTAAATTCCCCTTTATATCTCCTTCCAACCACACACATTTATTTTCAGTCTCTAAAGCAAACTTAATGTTATATGCTCAGGAGGAAGAGAAAGATGTTATTGAATTTATTCCTTTGCTCTCCAAAAAGGCCACACCTAAGACATCGTCGAGGTGAGAATCATTCCTGATGCATGAGTGTGGGAATGTGGTGCTTTTTAGGAATAAAAAATAAAAACCAAGCCAAAGAACAAACAAACAAACAAAAAAACACTGCTCAGAAATCTGTATCTGTTACATTTCTCTCTACTCCTTAATTGGGCTTTCGATGCAGGAAAGACAATTCACTAGCTGGGAAAGGGAGAAAGAACTCCATCATTCTTCTACTGCCAGCACCTGTTCTGCCAGCTGACACTATTTAATATAAATTTTGACCATAAAAAAAGGCAACATACTAATAGCACTGCTGTTTACCAAAAACTAATTAAATCTCTTTACTGCTGGTTCACCCCCGCTTTCTCTCACACCACCTACTCACCCAATGCAGAGAAGGGGTGGCAACCACTTTCTCCGGCACAGACACAGCCAGTGTCTTAACACAAGCAGTATTCTGACCAAAAGAGCCACCACCCTCTTGCCCCTCTCCCTGCTTATCATACAGGGAACACCAAGTCCACTCTGGGGCTGGGAATCTCAAATAAATCAATTCACTTTAACCAGATCTTAAAAATCTGCCCTACGATTACAGAAAGAGAAAATGCAAATCAGAAAAACACATCACATGGAGAACAAACCAAAACCAGGGCTGGGGAACATTTGCACATCAGCGCTGCCTTTGAACTCCAGAATGGCATGGAAAGCGCCGCTGCCCAGCCCAGACCCAAGGAGGGGGTTTTACAAAGGCTTCCAGCACCCCCTATCAACACAAACACTTCCTCCCCGCTTCCAAAATGCTCTGAATAAAGACCTTCTTTAAGCACTTACTGGGAGCGGCAGCTTCTCTCTGCAATGTGCCTGTGAGTCACGCAGCAGGAGGGGCCCCGGAGCAGGGCAATTCGGAGAGCCCCCAGCTTCCCTGCAAGCTGATGTCTATGAGACAGCAGCCCAGGAACCGACTTTCCCATTACAGCCTCAGACTGTAATCCATGTGCTTTCGGCGGGCCAGTCCCAGCTGCCCACAGAGCACCACATGATCTGCTCTGACATCAGATCAGCCAGACGTGACAGCCCATCCGCCAGCCTCTTCCACACTCTTGGGTTGCATCATTTGAGTGCCTTTGGTTTGCATTTAAGCAGGTGGTACAGAGTAAGGAACTGTTGTTTTCTCACAAAATATTTTTTTTCTGGTTTCTTCTGTTCTAAAAGAAGGGAAAAATAAGCAAGAAAAGCACTTGAATTTGTTGCAGCCTAAATGTATCAGATATATGGGAAGTAACTGGAGTTCCACGCCTAGTTCAGAGAAGCTGAGGAATAAGCTACTGCCAAGATGCCAATGCCGTGGGAGTGATTTCATCTATAAATCACTACCACCACCATACCCCACCGCCTTTCAGTAGATCATCTTTTATATAAGAGTTTATATATATCTATATATACATATATACATATATATATGTTTAAGTCATAAAATATTGGTAGGTGGTGTGTGTGTGTGTTTTAAGCTAGTCACCACTGAGTTTAGTTCATGGGCAATCTCAGTGAGGTAACCATGAGACTCAGTGCAATACACAATAATTCTATTTTGAGAGGATTCACATATAGTCCAACAGAAATAGATGTACAGACCTGGACGGATAGGCAGATAAGCAGACAGGAAGTCAGAACCATCCATTCAGGCTTACATTCATTCATTCAATAATCATTTATTGATCACCTACTATATACCCAGTCCAAAAACAGATTATCAAAATGGTGGAGGGGTTGGATATTTGTTACAGAGCTTCTAATTCTACTTCTGTGATAAGACAAGGAAGTAAGAGCCTTATCAAGGATCCTTATAAAATGTTCTGTGTCTAATACTGAATCTAAAGGCTGGTAAAAAAAATCAGGTTTTATCTTAATTTCATTAGGATAAATGGTAACACATGTAATCTTTAAGGTAAGAATAATCAAAATCAATAAGACTTTATGAAGCAAAATCATAGCCCGCTTAGACAGCTGTGACCAGAAATGATGTAATTCTAAAATTACAAAAAATATAATGCTCCCCTAGCAGAGAGGAGAATTCACTGTTTTTTTTGGACACCGTCTTGCTCTGTCCCCCAGGCTGAAGTGCAGTGGCACAATCTTGGCTCACTGCAACTTCCCCCTCCCGGGTTCAAGTGATTCTCCTGCCTCAGCCTCCCAAGTAGCTGGGATTACAGGCATGTGCCACCACACCTGGCCAATTTTTGTATTTTTAGTACAGATAGGGTTTCACCATGTTGTCCAGGCTGGTCTCGAACTGCTGACTTCAGGTGATCCACCTGCCTCGGCTTCCCAAAGTGCTGGGATTACAGGCGTGAGCCACTGTGCCCGGCCAAGACACTTCTTAAGTAGAAAAATAAATATTTAATTTTAGTTTTCCTTAGTTTAATAATTAGCTGTTTCCTATAAAATAATCACAAAATATGCAAACCCTTGGTTTTCATTATTTTGTCTTTGTCCCTTATATTTAAAGTGAATTGTGCCATTTTCTTATATGTTAATTAAGGCTATAATATCATTATTTGATATTGTAATCAATATAATAGTATTTGCATATTTTTATGGAAATAATTCAATCTAATAATTATAAATTACTAATATCATAATAAATTTGTCATTTAATATATAATATTTAACTCATCTATTTGCTTTGTACCAAGTGTGTGATATTTTCCCCTGAGTTGACCAGGATGCTTGTGACTGTGGAATTCAATATGAGATTCCAAGAGCACTTGTTTCCATTTGTTCTCTATTGGAAATAAGCTATATAAAGAGTAAAACTGTTCAAGTCTACTACTGTTTCTACTGAAACAGAACATCTCTGACACCAGATATGTGGGTTTTTCACATCAAGAAATTTCCCAATTTTCTGCAGACACCAAGTGCCCTACAATTTAATTCAATTCTGACACTGACTACCCAGAGTTAACGCAGACACCACAGGTTAAGGGCTCAGTTCCACAAGACTGCCCCCAACTTCAAATAAAAATCACAAGTAGTGGGTACCCAGGTTACCCACACTTTTGTCCAGCTTGGCTACAAATTGGGGGTTCCCACGACTGACTCCGTCCTTAGGTTTGATAATTTGTTATAATAGCTCACAGAACTCAGGGAAACACTTTACTTATTATTACCAGTTTGTTATAAAGAATATTATAAAGTACACAAATGAACAGCCAGATGAAAAGGCATGTAAGGTGAGGTCTCCAAGTGTCCAGAGTGCAGGAGCTTCTGTCCCCGTGGTGTTTGATGTGGTCCCAACATGTGGATACATTCACCAACTTGGAAGCTCTCTGAATCCTATTGTTAATGGTTTCTTTTTATGGAGGTCCCATTACAGAGGTATGGTTGATTAAATCTTTGGCCATTGGAGACTGACTCAATTTTCAGCCCCCCTCCCCTCTATGGAGGTGTGGTGGATCTGAAAGTTTAAATCCTCTAATCACATGGTTGGTTTCTCTGGCAAAGAGTTCCCATCCTGAAGCTATCTAGGGCAGGCCCCTGCCCCCACCAAGAGTCACCTCATTAGCATAAACTCAGGTTTGGTTGAAAGGGCCTTATGAATAGCAAATTATGCTAATCTCTCCTCATTATCTAGGAAATTACCAAGGTTTTATGAGCTCTGCGTCAGAAACTAGGGATGAATATTAATATATGTGTTTGTTTATATATCACAATATCACAGAGTTAATTCTTTTACACTTATTTAATTGAACACCTATTATGTTCAAGTCACTGAAAATGATACCAAAGTGCATGATATTCGATGGGTTTATAATCTTGTTAGGGATATACTGTTTCCACACAAATATCTGAAATATAGTTGCTAAATCAAATACATAGAAAGTAATGCAGTTAAAGTAGACAAAGAAAGTGAATTCTCGCCAGTGGTGGTGGCTTGCACCTGTAATCTCAGCACTTTGGGAGGCCGAGGTGGGCGGATCATTTGAGGTCAGGAGATCAAGACCAGCCTGGCCAGCCAACATGGTGAAACCCCATCTCTACTAAAAATAGTAGACTTTGAGACTCCATCATAAAAAAAAAAAAAAAGTGTCTTTTTGTATTTAGTTTCTTGGAATTTTGCTGATCTCTCTAGCTAAAATTAACTGGCAATTTAAAAATAGCACTGTTCAGGTACCTACCAACACCCCCCATACAGTGATCTTTTGCCACTATTTCTTATAATATGAGCTAAGTGAAGTGCGAAATGTGGCCTCACTGACAAATTGTTCCTTCCAAAATCTATAGAGTTAACAAAGGTTTAATATTCAAAAGATTGTCACTACTCCTAAACTCTAGCACAGGCTACCATCATCACTTGTCTCCTGGACTACAGCAACAGCTTCCAGTTGTCCTCTATAGAGCAAGCAGAATGTTCTCTCTCTTACTTAAAACTCTCTCAGCCTGAGCAACATGGCGAAACCCCATCCCTAAAAAAAATTTAAAAATTAGCCTGGAGTGGTGGTACACACCTGTAGTCCCAGCTACTCAGGAGGCTGAGGTGGGAGGATCCCCTGAGCCCAGGGAGGTTGAGGCTGCAATGAGCCACAATCATGCCACTGCACTCCAGACTGGGTAACAGAGTAATACCTTGTCTCAAAAAAACAAACAAACAAACAAACAAAAAAACAAAAAAACGCTCTCCAGTCATTTTCCATCTCATTTAACTCCTCATCATGGCCTCTAACACCCTTTAATGAAACTATATAGATGCTTCTTAAGTAGCTTCCTTCTCCAGTAAATAACATACTGAATATTTCTCTCGTTGGCTGAGTTATTGTTCATTAGGTAATTAACACTTGTTTTCTGAAATTCATTTATTTCCTCAGGAAAGACTATAAGAAAATGAACTATTGAATTAAAGGATGCGATCTTATTTCAAAGTAATAGTGTTTAGGCAAGATATATAACTGCCTGCCCAAAGACTACAGCTCCCAAGCTCCCTTGCAACTCAGTGTGGCCTTCTGAGCAGAATTTCTCCTTTCTTGCCTCAAAGAACATTGCTTGCCTTAAACTTCTTTTGTTTCCTTTATGCAAGCTAAAACACAGATTTGCCTGTGACCTCACTTCAACCACACAGCTTTAACGGGGAATGGCAGAGCAAATGAACAGAAGAAAACTGGGCCACTAAATTACCACAGAAAGCAGAGTTGACCTTCTAACCTGGACGACTCATTCATACTGCATTCTTGTCAGCATTGAGGCCTATTTCTTTTAAGGGAAATCTGGCTGGGTGCAGTGGCTCATGCCTGTAATCCTAACACTTTGGGTGGCCAAGATGGGTAGACAGCTTGAGCTCAGGAGTTTGAGACCAGCCTAGGCAACATGGCAAGACCCTGTCTCTATGAAAAATAGAAAAATTAGCTGGGCATGGTGGTGCACACCTGTGGTCCCAGCTACTCAGGATGCTGAGGCAGGAGAATGGGTTGAGCCTGGGAGGTCGAGGCTGCAGTGAGCCATGATCACGCCACTGCACTCCAGCCTTGGTGGCAGAGTGAGACCCTGTCTCAATAAATAAATAAATAAATAAATATAATATAATTTGGTAAAGGAAAAATAGTATAGAAAGTTGAAAATGATTCAATGATTACTATTCATCGGCATTCTGTCTTTTAAGAATTGCTTGTCCACATTGATTTTTATTTTCACTGAATTTTTAATATGTTTCTTTATTCTGTTGAGCTTCATTGTTTGCCTTTAAATTCTGCTTTTGGGAAACATGTTGAAGTGTTTTATTGTCATCATTTGTAATTTTTTCCATTGTTTTTGTTCCATTGAAAGTTTCCATAATGACCAGATTTTTTTTTTGATTTTTTTTTTTTTTTTAGACAGAGTCTCACTCTGTTGCCCAGGCTGGAGTGCAGTGGTGCAGTCTTGGCTCACCACAACCTCTACCTCCCGGGTTCAAGCGATTCTCCTGCCTTAGCCTCCCAAGTAGCTGGGACTACAGGTGCATGCCACCATGCCCAGCTAATTTTTTTATTTTTAGTAGAGACATGGTTTCACTATGTTGGCCAGGCTGGTCTCGAACTCCTGACCTTGTGATCCACCCACATCAGGCTCCCAAAGTGCTGAGATTACAGGTATGAGCCACCGCGCCCAGCCGATGACCAGATTTTAAACTCTAAATACCATTCCTCACTAAAAAGAACCAGGGCTCTTTGGGGAAAAGGCTGATTTTAAATCTGAGGCAGAGAATGTATAAGATGAGCTTAGCACATTGTCTTATAGCAGAAAGCAAGGAAATTACTGAAGAGAAGTAGGGTCGTGTCAAAGGACAGGAATCAACGTGGAGAGGCCCCCAAAAGCCAACTTCACCAAAAGCATCTTTTCTAGTTACTATGGCTATGTAAAAAGTCATGCCAAACTTAGCTTGAAACATTTATTTTTCTCACAAATCTGTAGTCTGGGAAGGGTTCAGAGGGTTAGCTGGTTTCTACTCCACTTAGCATCATTTGAGCACCTCAAAAGCTGGAGAATGAAATCCTCTGAGGGTTCATTCACTCACATGTCTGGTGCCTGAACTGGAACATTGAGGAATGGAATAATTAGGTCTCCTTAATCATCTCTGCGTGCCTCTTATGTTGCTTTTCCTTATGGTCTTTTAACATGGTGGCTTCAGGGTGGTTGGATTTCACTAAAAGCATGTGTCCCAAGAGAGTGCCAGGCAGAAGCAATGGAGATGTGTCAATATCACATTATAGGAAGACCATGTGAGACTGAATATATTGGTGTATCCTGCTTTGGTAAATACAATCTATCACAGCATCATAAAGAATACTATAATTGAGTGACACACTTGAATATATAAAAGTCCTAATGATACTCAGCCCAGAATGAAAAGACATATTTGCCCCTCATTGAGGTAACTATTATACCAATTCCTTACACGAAAATTAGTCGAGAGTTAAGTATGAATTCTTTCTTTTCCAAATGGAACTCTGTTTTGGCGTAACACATAGCTCTTTTTTTTTTTTTTTTTTTTTTTGAGACGGAGTCTTGCTCCGTTGCCCAGGCTGGGGTGCAGTGGCGGGATCGTGGCTCACTGCAACCTCCGCCTCCCGGGTTCACGCCATTCTCCTGCCTCAGCCTCCTGAGTAGCTGGGACTACAGGCGCCCGCCACTACACCTGGCTAATTTTTTGTATTTTTAGTAGAGACGGGGTTTCACCGTGTTAGCCAGGATGGTCTCAATCTCCTGACCTCGTGATCGCCCGTCTCGGCCTCCCAAAGTGCTGGGATTACAGGCGTGAGCCACCGCGCCCGGCCGGAGTAACACATAGCTCTAATTAATAAGGCGAACTCTATTAGAAGAATCTTAGTTAATGAAAGCAAAAACACTAACAATTGGAAAAATCACCATTTTGCAACTTGTAATGGAGTAACTGGTTCAGACAACAGTCAGCAATGGGTGCCAACAGCATTGAGTATAAGGTTGATAAAGGCACTGGATACTAATCTGCTGCTGAGTTCTTAGCACACAGAATATTTACTTGTCTCAAGGGGGGGAAATCGTAACTTTATAATAGAGAGATCTAGTAATTTCCCCATTTACCATTAATCTAAAGATCGATCTTAATATCATAAAAAGTAACACAACTAAGTATTGTACAACTCTTGATATGATAGGATATAATGTTCACAGCATCACCCATGAAACACACTTGACAAAAATGTTTTACCTGACATCAGTAACAACTTTAGATCAAAATTTCCAGTCTCCAGGAAATACAGCAGAGAGTTACCTAAAATTTAAATGAAACCAGAAGGAAACAATCATATAAATCCAGAAGGTGGAATTCTACCGGAAAACTGATCCAGTCTCGTGGCCGGGCGCGGTGGCTCACGCCTGTAATCCCAGCACTTTGGGAGGCCGAGGCAGGTGGATTACGAGGTCAGGAAATCTAGACCATCCTGGCTAACACGGTGAAACCCCATCGCTACTAAAAATACAAAAAAAAATTAGCGGGCATGGTGGCAGGCCCCTGTAGTTCCAGCTACTCGGGAGGCTGAGGCAGGAGAATGGCGTGAACCCAGGAGGCGGAGCTTGCAGTGGGCCGAGATCGCGCCACTGCCCTCCAGCCTGGGCGACAGAGCAAGACTCATTCCCAGTCTCAAAAAAAAAAAAAAAAAGAAAGAAAGAAAAAGAAAATTGATCCAGTCTCTTCAGCAAGAAAATGTAACAAAACAACAACAACAAAAAAGCGGGAAGGGGCTGTGCGTGGTGACTCACGCCTATAATCCCAGCACTTTGGGAAGCCGAGGGGGTGGATCACCTGAGGTCAGGAGTTCAAGACCAGCCTGGCCAACATGGTGAAACCTCGTCTCTACTAAAAATAAAAAAATTAGCCGAGCGAGGTGGTGGGTGCCTGTAATCCCAGCTACTCAGGAGGCTGAGGCAGGAGAATTGCTTAAACCTGGGAGGCAGAGGTTGCGGTGAGCTGAGATTGCACCATTGCACTCCAGCCTGGGTGACAAAGTGAGACGCCATCTAAAAAATAAAATAAAATAAAATAAGCAAGAAGGAAACAGAACTTTTCTCAACTAACAGAGAAATATGAGCCATAGCTCACCACATATTAAGAATCATGCAGGTCATTGACTGGATCCTGATTTGAGCAACTTGGCTGGAAAACACACTGGGGCCAACAGAGGAAATCTGGATGTATACTGGGTATCAGAAGATAGCAGAGAATTATTTAATTTTGTAGCTGTGCTCATGATAAAAGTATTGTGCTCAGTTAAGAAAAAAATCTTTATTTGGCCAGGCACAGTGGTTCACACCTATAATCCTAGCACTTTGGGAGGCCAAGGCAGGTGGATCACCTGAGGTCAGGAGTTCGAGATCAGCCTGGCCAACATGGTGAAACCCCATTGCTACAAAAAAAAAAAAAAAAAAAAAAATATATATATATATATATATATATATATATATATACACAAAAAATTAAAATATCTTTATTTTAGAGATACTAAAGAACATAATGGTAAAGCAACATTATAATTTACCTCCAAATGCTTTAAAAAAATAAAGTAAATATGACAACATGTTAGCAATTGGCAAACCTAGATAAGAAATATACAGGTATTTGTTATACTCTCTATTTATTTTAATATTTGAAATGTTGTACAGTAAAATGTAATAAAACAGAACATTTCTCCCCAAATGCAGGGATTTTCTAAGTACTCAATTCTAATTTTTCTAATTTTTGTGTTTTTGGTTTATTTTTTGAAATGGGCTCTCACTCTCACCCAGGCTGGAGTGCAGTTGCGCGATCACAGCTCACTGCAGCCTTGACTTTCCCAGGCTCAGGTGATCCTCCCACCTCAGTTGTTGTATTTTTAGTAGAGATGGGGTTTCACCATATTGCCCAGACTGGTCTCGAACTCCTGGGCTCATGCTATCTGTCCGCCGCGGCCTCCTAAAGTGCTAGGATTACAGGTGTGATCCACTGTGCCTGGCCTGGTTTTATTTATTTATTTTTATTGATTTATTTTTTTTTTAGACGGAGTCTTGCTCTGTCGCCCAGGCTGGAGTGCAGTGGCGAGATCTCGGCTCACTGCAACCTCCGCCTCCCAGGTTCACGCCATTCTCCTGCCTCAGCCTCCGGAGTAGCTGGGACTACAGGCACCTGCCACCATGCCCGGCTAATTTTTTGTATATTTAGTAGAGACGGGGTTTCACCGTGTTAGCCAGAATGGTCTCGATCTCCTGACCTCGTGATCCATCCGTCTCGGCCTCCCAAAGTGCTGGGATTACAGGCGTGAGCCACCGCGCCCGGCCCTTATTTATTTATTTCTAACCATTTAACATTTAATTTAAACTACCAGGAAGTTTTTTTGAAGTGTTTTGTCTTTCCCCAGTTACCAAATGAATTGTCCTAGAAAATTTATTAAATAGTTTGGGCCGGGTGCAGTGGCTCACGCCTGTAATCCTAGCACTTTGGGAGGCTGAGGTGGGTGGATTACCTGAGTTCAAGAGTTCAAGACCAGCCTGGCAAATGTGGTGAAATGCCGTCTCTACTAAAAATAAAAAAATTAGCCAGGTGTGGTGGCACACACCTGTAATCCCAGCTACTCCGGAGGCTGATGCAGGAGAATCACTTGAATCCAGGGGGACAGAGGTTGCAGCGAGCCGAGATCGCACCACTTTACTCCAGTCTGGGCAACAGAGAAAGAATTTGTCTCAATAAATAAATAAATAAATAGTCTGTATGTCCCCAGTTGTTATACCCATTTGTTTTCTATTAAGTTATTGATATATCAGAGTCTATCTCTGAAATAACTATTCCATTGATTTGTCTGTACCAGTGTCATTTTCATTTAATCATTATAGCCTATGTAGTGCTCAACCAACCTTCTCTTTCTAATTTTCAAAGTCATTATTGTCTATTTATTTTTCTAGGTGATTTTTGGAATTTGCCCCCAGCCCCACAAAAATACCACAGGTGTTTCTGTCTTCTTGTTTTCTATTGAGTTTTCATTAAAATTGAATTGGGAAGAATTATCATCCCTACAATACTGACAACTAATACTTAATCCCACTTAAATTTTAAGAGCTGAAGTTTGTATTTCTTCTTTGTATTGTATCATAATTTGCTTTCTTTAAATTCTCCAACCACACTGGTTTTAGTTCTGCTCTCTGGAGTGACATAATATTTGATTACTCCTTCTTTCACATAATGGGAGAGAGTAATTATGCTCCCACTTTATTCAGCCATTTCCTATTTGACATGATTTTTGCTGTCTTCATCATCCTGCTCACCCACTTCCGGATATGCTCCACTTTGTCAATATTTCCTCTTGAAATAGGGAACCCAGATCTAAGGACTCAAGACTCCAAATGTGTGTGGTCTGAGAATCACAAAGAAGTGGGATGACTATTTCCCTTACTCTGGACACTCAGCTGTTATTAATGCAGTGTAGATTTGTATCCCCATGTCTTGGCAGTACTCTTCACTATTGGCTCACATTGAGCTTGCAGTCAACTAAAATCACTAGAACTTTCTCACTGACTGTTCTTAAAATAGACCTTCATTTTCTTGAACATAAGCACATGAATGCTGAATTATTTGTACATAAATGGTTATATAAATCCTGATGAGATTTCATCTTTTCAATATTGGTTTATCATTTCAGCCCAATTATAAATCCCAATTCTATTTTTCAAAGCATTAAAACTTAGTCATCTGCAAATTTAATAAACATGTCTTTTTTTGGTCTCATCCACAGTCTGACAAAGAGCAAAGGGCCAAGTCCTATAACAAAGCAACCAAATGCTGTTTCTGGGGAATTGCCCAAGGCCAGGTTGAAATAGTGGATTTTCAGCATTTCTTTATTAACTAGGAGACCTATGAAAGAAAAGACCAAGGTTTCTTTGATCTCATTCGCTCTTCGTAAACCCAAACTTATTCCTACTGATTATTTCTCCCTAATCTAAGTACTCACAAACCACCTATTTTAAAATTCAGTCTAAATGTTGCTGAGGACTAATGTGAAACCTAAGTATACATCAAAATCCAAATTTTACCCCCTTTCTAAAAACATGGATAAAATTCACCATCATCCAGAACCTTTGCCATTCTCCAGCTCTCCTCAAAGAATAGTAACTGTTCTGCCCATTTTCAGTGTTCTGCCATGTTCTTCCTTACAACCTGAAACTGTGAACTCATTATGAGACTTAAATGCACTTCTGTGACGGTATCTGCATACATGTTTGTCTCCTCAAGCAGATTTTTAGTTCCTTAAAAACAATATGAAATCTTATTCAGTTCAATTCAACTGACACTTAATGAGTTTCAGGTATTTTAATAGCAACCGTGATAGGAAACAGGAAGGCCCCTACAAAAGAATGACAGGAACAGAGTTGCAGCACAGCACAGTGTGCCTAGAGACTAGAAACAGTTCTACACTGCTTAATTGAGATGTATGGAGCAGCAGGACATGAGGATGCAGAGGTAGTTAAAAGAGCACTCCATCAGAGAGGGCCTTGGAAGCCATGCTAATAAACACCAGCTTTATCCGATAGAAGAGAGTTGGAAATGGGCCACCCAAGGCCCAGATTATTCCCCTGAAGACTCATTTTGTGTTCCCAGCACACTCTTAAACAAAGAAAAGAGGATTCCTCAAAAGACTAAAAATGGAACTGCCATAAGACCCAGCAACCTCACTGCTGAGTATACATCCAGAAGAAAGGAAATCAGTGTATATATTTTTTCATTTTTTTCTTTTTTGAAACAAGGTCTCACTCTGTCACCTAGGCTGGAGTACAGTGGCGTCATCACGGCTCACTGCAACCTCAGCCTCCCTGGGCCCAAGTAATCCTCCCACCTCAGCCTCCCCAAGTAGCTGGGACTACAGGCATGCACCACCAACCTGGCTATTTTTTTTATTTTTTGTAGAGACTGGGTCTTGCCATGTTTCCCAGGCTGGTCTCAAACTCCTGAGATCAAGCAATCCTCCTGCCTCAGCCTCCCAAAGCGCTGGGATTACAGGCATGGGCACCACACCTGGCCTGAAATCAGTATATTGTAGAGATATCTGCACTCCCATGTTTATTACAGCACTGTTCACAATAGCCAAGATTTGGAATCAACCTAAGTATTCATCAGTGGATGAATGGATAAAGAAAATGTAGTATATATACACACAGTGGAGTAGCATTCCAGCATAAGAAGAATGAAATGCTGTCATTTGCAACAACATGGATGGAACTGGAGAACATTATGTTAAGTAAAATGAACCAGGCACAGAAAGACAAATTTCACATGTTCTCATTCATACGTGGGAGGTAAAAATTAAAACAATTCAGTGGAGAGTAGAATGATCATTACCAGAGGCTAGGAAGGGTAGTGTGAGGGGGAGAAATGTGGCGATGGTTAATGGGTGCAAAAATATATTTAGAGAGAATAAGATCTAGTTTTGATAACACAATAGGGTTACTATAATCAACAATAATTTATGGTATATTTTTAAATAACTAAAAGAGAGGAATGTTGGAATGTTTCTAACACAAACAAATGATGAATGCTTGTGATAATGAATACCCTGGTTACTCTGATGTGATTATTACACATTGTATGCCTGTATCAAAATATCACATCTACCCCATAAATATATACACCTATTTTGTACTCATAATAATTAAAGGCTTAAAAATTTTAAAATGAAGATACAAAAGTCTGCATGTGGCCGGGCGCAGTGGCTCATGCCTGTAATACCAGCACTTTGGGAGGCCAAGGCAGGTGGATCACGAGGTCAGGAGTTCGAGCCTGACCAACATAGTGAAACACTGTCTCTACTAAAAATACAAAAATTAGCCAGGCGTGGTGGCATGCGCCTGTAATCCCAGCTACTCAGGAGGCTGAGGCAGGAGAATCGCTTGAACCCGGGAGGCAGAGGTTGCAGTGAGCCAAGATCACCCCATTGCACTCCAGCCTGGGCAACAGAGTGAGACTCGGTCTTAAAAAAAAAAAAAAAAAAAAATCTGCATGCCTATCTGCTTTGTCACAGTCCCTACACCCTTGTTTTACACCACCCCAGGAACATTGGCTCTTGAAAAAATGAACCCTTGTCTAGCTTATTTACGACAGTGCCTAGATCAGTGCCTGGTGCATAGCGAGCACAAAAAATGATCTGTTGACTGACTTGTTGGCCTGGCCCATTTTGGTTCATGTTACCTGGTACAAAGGTAGGCAACCAATAACAACTGCCGCAAATACTTCTGGTTTCCTCTCATTTCATAAAAATGTATGAAGCTTAAGTTTTAAAATTTCATTTTTTTAAAGAATTTCCCATTTCTCTGGCACCTGCTTGTCTTTCAACATCCTCATGATGCAATTATACGTGTCTTTCATTTGACTTTTTGAGGCCTAATTTTCCTACAAACAGTGGTCTGACTCAGCCCAGCCCTCCTTTCCGTGGCTACTTCGCATTCAGGGATGATCTGGTCACATCCTTCCTCAGTGCTAGTCACTTCTACATCTCCAACCTATTCTTCCTGGGTGTTCAGAATAAAGTTCTGATTAACTGTTCTTATTGGTTCTTCACCACTCTGTGAGGCACAATTTTTGTGTCCAGGTTGCAATTTTGTTTCTTTTTTTGAGAAGGGGTCACAATTCATCAGCCAGGCTAGAGTGCAGTGGCACAATCATGGCTCACGACAGCCTTGAACTCCAGGGCTCAAGCAATCCTCCCGCCTCAGCCTCCAGAGTATCTAGTATTACAGGTGCGTGTGCCACCATGCCTGGCTAGTTTTTTGTTTGTTGTTGTTGTAGAGACAGGGTCTTGCTGTGTTGCCGAGATGAGTCTTGAACTCCTGGCCTCAAGCAATCTCCTGCCTCACATGTTCCAGTTTATATTTGCATTTATATTTGGAAAATATCATCCATGTCCTCTATATGGGTCTTGAATTCTTGGCTTCAAGCAATCCTCCCACCTCACATGTTACAATTTATATTTAGAAAATATCATCCAAGTCCTCGATATCTTCTGGCATTCTATAACAAGCTCCCTCAATGAGTTACATTGTGTTTTGTTCTCATGTTATCTATATGCAAATGCTCATCACTCTCAATTTCCTCAATTTTTGTCCAAGGAGGTAGCTTCTTGAAATGCAGTGCTAATGCCACCATAGCCCTGTCCCTTCATACACTCATTCATATGCTCATAAATAGAAAATCAAACAACTATACCATCAGAGCTGCTTCTCTTGAATAAAGTATTGTTTTAAAAACTGTGAGATTGGCCGGGCACGGTGGCTCACGCCTGTAATCCCAGCACTTTGGGAGGCCGAGGTGCGCAGATCACAAGGTCAGGAGATCGAGACCATCCTAGCTAACACGGTGAAACCCCGTCTCTACTAAAAATACAAAAAAAATTAGCCAGGCATGGTGGCAGGCGCCTGTAGTTCCAGCTACTTGGGAGGCTGAGGCAGGAGAATGGTGTGAACCCAGGAGGCGGAGGTTGCAGTGAGCCGAGATCGCGCCACTGCCCTCCAGCCTGGGTGACAGAGCGAGACTCCATCTCAAAAAAAGAAAAAAAAAAAAAACCGTGAGATTGGTCATACATCAATGATTATAAAAGCTGCAATGTATATAAGGGGCTTCATTATACTATTCTCTCTATTACACTATTTGGCTATAAAGGGCTTCATTATATTATTCTCTGTCTATTATACTATTTGGAAATTTAAATATTAAAAATACTTTTTAACTCTTTGCAAAATTGTCATTTTATTTATTTATTCAACAAACATCCACTGATCAAACATGCTAAACAATACAGAGATTAAGACATAGTCTCTATATATGGTTACCAAATAAAATACAAGAGGCCTGCCTTGTTGAATTTGAATTTAGATAAACAATAGTATATTTTTTAGTGTATGTATGTTCCATGCAATATTCGAGATATTTATTCTCTCACAATTCTGCACGTAGAAATTCTGAAATCAGTTTCACAGGGTTGAGATCAAGATGTCGACAGGATTGTGCTCCCTCCAGAAGCTCTAGAGGGAGAATCTGCTCCTGCCTCTTCCAGCTTCCGGTGGCAGCCAACATTCTTTGACTTGTGACCGCATCCATTACTCCAGTCTTCAAGGCTTCCATTTTCAAATCACGATCTACTCCTCCTTTCCCTAGCCTTCTCTTCTGTGCTTGTGTCAAACTGCCCTTCTGCCTGCCTCCTATAAAGGCACTTGCCTATCGCTTATAAAGTAGGCTTTTAGGGCCCATCTGGATAATCCAATATAATCTTGCCATATCAAGATCCTTAATCACATTTGCGAAGACCCTTTTCCAAGTAAGGTAACATTTAAGGGTTCCTGGAATTAGGACCTGATACCTTGAGGACCATTATTCAGGCTACTATAGATGCTATATAGATAACTACTACTATATAACTACTACTATGATAGATATTCTCGAGGGAATACTGGAGAAACTTGAAAGGAGATCAAGGAAGAGGCAGATGTCGAGACAGTCTTCCTAAATCAGTGGTGTCAGAGAATATAAATCACTAAAAGCAGCAGTTATAACAACAGCCAGTAATCAGACCAATCAGAACAGACACAGGCTATAAATAACCACTGCAGCCTACCAGTGAGTACCAGTTGAGCATCAGTCTTGATAAGAGATGTAATGTTGGATGCTTGCTACAGAAGAATAAATAAGAAGTAGCAACTGGATGACAAAAATCATTTGCACACGATTCCTAACATATCACCTCGGGAGGAATCATGGGCAGGAAGATTGCCCCATATAGTTTGAGGCGTATCGTTTTTGTTTTTGTTTTTGTTTTAACTCCTATGTTGTCTATATTGCTCTTCAAAAAAAGTCTACATTGCCTGTCACTTCAAGTATTTTTTCAACCCAATTTACTCAAAATTTCTACTCAATTATTTACTTAATAATTTTAATTTTTTCATAAAAGTAAGTTGCTTTGTGCAAAAACAGCATAGCAATATAAGGTTATATAAAGGAATAATGCCCCTCTCCTCCACCTAATCCCACTTCCCAGAGATAAGCACATCAACAGATACATCAAGGACTTTATCTGTGAACATGTAAATTTGCATATTTAAAATATAAATACATATATTGAAATGAATGGGAAGGAGCAAGCATTATGCTGCTGGTGGAAAATGATAAAACAGTGCACCCTCAGCCGGTTATGCTCCCAAGAAGCAGCAAGCTGCATGCTCCTTCCTTTTGTACTTTTTGGATCCAATTCCACAGGAAATATCTCTAATTCATTAATTCTTAATTCCACAGTGGCATCCTAAAGGAGGATTGGCAAGAAGAGCAGCAATTCAAATATGAACAACAGTGTCCTCCAATCTCCCTCTAAACTTTCCACCCTGCAAGCCTCCTCAGTTGTTGCACAAATACCTCAAATCTAAACCACCTAAAATTGAACTTGTCATCTTCCTCAAGAAACCTGCCACTCCTCCTGTTTCTCCATCTCACCTAGTAGCCAAACCGGAAACCAGGAAGTGACCCTTTTCCCCCACATCCTATAACAACAAAAGTCACCAGATCCTGGAAAATATCACACAAATTTATAAATTTTTCTCATTACTGAATTACTGCAAAAAAAAAAAATCATGAATGGTCTACCAGACCTTCACCTCACCCTCCCCTTAATCATACTCTGTACCGTAGCTAGAGTTATCTTTCCAGAACATAAATTTCATTATGATACACCTTTCTTCAACTGCTTTAATGGATCTTCATTGCTCTCAAAATAGAGTCCTGAAGAGGGTTTATAACATCCTAGTTGAGAGTGCACCTGCTATCTCTCTGCTTCATCTCTTACCCTCACAATCTGATCTCAAACCACACTCATCTTTTTTTATTTTCCTAATTTTGCATGCTTACCCATGCTAGAACTCTCTATGTACTGTTTTTTCCAAGAAAGACTTTTCTTTTTCTTTACTTAGCTGACTCCCATTCAATTCACAGGTTTTAACTTAGTTATCAGCTCCTCCAGGAAGCCTTGCCCTAATCCCCTTAGCCTAAGTTAGGGGTCTCTTTTTGTGTAACCACAGCATCCTGTGCCTTCTCTGTCAATTATAATTGCCTATTCACTTGTCTCCCACCACCACTAGACCACAGGATCAGTTCACCTTTGTATTATCAGGACAAAGCACAGTAATAAGGACATGGTAGGATCTCAATAAATAGTTGTTAAGTAAGTACAAAGAGTAATGCAGATCCTCAGGAGCAAAGCACTGTGTATACATTTATCTTCAGGAAGGCAGTTCAGTGCATGGCTTTGCTATAATGAACAAAATGATATCATGATTTTTACAGCATTTTGTTGACTATTGAGGAACAATTTGCATTTAAGACACATAAATCCCACACACAAAAAATAAGCCCATTCTCCCCACCTCTATAGGAAGGAAATCAGACTATGATTCAGTTGTCAATGTATGCCCTCCTCATTCTGAATTCACACAGAAGGCAGAAGCAGTAATGTCACTATAGAGTTAACTGACTACCTTGGTGTCCTACATAATTCTGTCATTACCATAGTGCAATGAATAGCTCTCAGCTTTGCAGGTTCAGAAGCTCAATTTTATTACTTCATTTAAAAATGAAAAGCCAGCCGGGTGCAGTGGCTCCTGTCTGTGATCCCAGCACTTTGGGAGGTCGGGGTGGGTGGATTACCTGAGGTCAGGAGTTCGAGACCACCCTGGCCAACATGGTGAAACCCGTCTCTACTAAAAATACAAAAAATTAGCTCGCTGCATTGGCGGGCACCTGTAATCCCAGCTACTCGGGAGGCTGAGACAGGAGAATCGCTTGAACCTGGGATGCGGAGGTTGCAGTCAGCCAAGATTGCGCCTGCACTCCAGCCTGGGGAACAAGAGCGAAACTCCATCTCAAAAAAGAAAAGAAAAGCCAGTGAGGCTGACTTTCTCAAAAGGGGTTCTTAATTTGAACACAGAGCACAAAAAATTGAGTGACTATTTCTCAATTCTCCCAACGCTGGCAAATAACTGGTACCATTCTAGACGCAGAGAGAAGTTAATTCATTACATGCAATGAATACCTTACAGCTATTAGGACTTATTTCACTCCCAGAACTCCAGAGGGCCTGAATCATATGAAGTAAATTCCTGTGAGGTATAAATATATCATACACACACACATACACACACACGCTAGATTTGTACTATATCTCACTATACTAGTATATATACTAATTGGTAAAAGAAAATGCATATAGGCAAAACTAGAATACAGTAGCATTGCTAATCATAATGTGGGTTGAAAAAATGTAGTCTGAAGAGTGGAAGGGTTAGGTGTTTTTAAAGGATACTTTAATTGGCCTATCATATCCTGCTGACTCAGCCTTCTTCCCTTGAGAGAGGCCAGAATATGAACTCTTGGAGAGAAGGAACGACATTTGTCGTGACTCCACATTTTGCCGAAATTTGAACTCCTAATAATTAACATCGTGCATGGCATATACTCCATTTCATTGACCCAATGAATGGATGGATGAATAAGCTGTGTTATATTGCTTCCTAGATTATTTTCTATAGGTAGTTAATTTTACATGTGGTGTGTGGATTCTTGTTCATTCTTTCAACAAGAACCTTCTATGTGAGTGAATCCTAGGCTAGGAACTGAGACAGGTTATGTGTTGTATATCAGAATTCATGTTATTAAGGATTAATCTACTGCTTTACACATTTTAGTCATTATTTACAAAAAAAAAAAAAAAAAAAGAGGTGGGCTGGGCGCGGTGGCTCACTCCTGTAATCCCAGCACTTTGGAAGGCTGAGGCGGGCGGATCACCTGAAGGCAAGAGTTACAAGACCAGCCTGGCCAACATGGCAAAACCCTGTCTCTACTAAAAATACAAAAGTTAGCCAGAAATGGTGGTGTGCGCCTGTAATCCCAGCTACTAGAGAGGCTGAGGCAGGAGAATCGCTTGAATACAGGAAGCGGAGGTTGCAGTGAGTCAAGATCCTGCCACTGCACTCCAGCCGGGGTGACACAGCGAGACTTCATCTCAAAAAAATAAAAATAAAAATAAAAATAAATAAATAAAAATTTTAAAAGAAAGGAAAAAATGTTGGAGAGGACGTAAAGTTGGAACTCTTGTAAACTGCTGGTAGAAATATAAAATGGTGCCACTACCCTAGAAAACAGTACAGAGGTTCCTCAAAAATTAAAAATGGAATTACAATATGATCCAGCCATTCCATTTATGGGCACATACCAGAAAGAATCGGAAGCAGGCACTCGAACAGGTGTCTGTGTACCCATGTTCATGCAGCATTATTCACAATAGCCATTTGCCCATTGAAGCAACCCAAGTGTCCTTCAATGGGCAAAAAGATAAAACAAAATATGGTACATACATACAATGGAACGTTATTTAGCTTTACAAAGGAAGGAAATTCTAACACCTGCTACATTGTGGATGAATCTTGAAGACGTTATACTAAGCAAAATAAGCCAGTCACAAAAGGACAAATAGTGTGACTCCATTTACATGAGGTACCTAAAGTAGTCAAACTCATACAGACAGAAAGCAAATGGTGGTTGCCAGGGACTGGGGGATAGGGAATTATTTTTTAATGGGTATGGAATTTCAGTTTTGCAAGATGAAAAAAGATCTGGAGACAGATAGTGGTAATGGTTGCACAACACTGTGAATGTACTTAATGCCACTGAACTGTACACTTTAAAATGGTTAAAATGAGCTCCACGCCAGGGGCTCTAGGCACCATCAGACCTACCATGGACAAGCCAAGACAATGGTACCAACCTGAGTAAGATAGATGGCCAGTCCTGGCACTACCACACCCTTGTGCTACACCAGTGGGGCTAAAGAAACCATGCTATGCATGAGGATGTTACTGAGTGGACTCTACTTTTACACAAAGTTATCAAGCAGATGAGCCACAACTAATACAGGTACAATTGATCATGTTGCTCATAGAAAATCCATAACTGTGGCCAGGCGCGGTGGCTCATGCCTGTAATCCCAGCACTTTGGGAGGCCGAGGCGGGAGGATCACCTGAGGTTGGGAGTTCAAGACCAGCCTTGCCAACATGGAGAAACCCCATCTCTACTAAAAGTACAAAATTAGCCGGGGTGGTGGTGCATGCCTGTTATTCCAGCTACTCAGGAGGCTGAGGCAGGAGAATCGCTTGAACCCGGGAGGCGGAGGTTGCAGTGAGCTGACATCATGCCATTGCACTCCTGGGCAACAAAAGAGAAACTCTGTCTCAAAAAAAAAAGAAAATCCATAATTGTAAAAACTATTTCTGTCATTCACATGTCAGGTTCAAAAATGAACTGTAAAGAAATATTACTATCAAGTTTGGACACATTAAATGCCAAGATTATAAACTCGATGACTCAAGTTTCCTCGGCCAGAATATTACAGATTCTGTGGAAGTAGTACACCTTGATGAGTTTCCTATAAATATTCCAGGGACCAAAAGAAACTTTGAACTAGTCAGACATGTTTCCTTGGTTGACTGTCCTGCCATGATATTTTGATGGCTACTTTGATGAACGGTATAGCAGTGATGGATGTGACCTTTCTGTTGATAGCCGGCAAAGAATCTTGTCCTCAACCTCAGACTCCTCTGAACACCTGGCTGCCATAGATATTATGAAGCTGAAACATACTTTCATTCTGTAAAATAAAATTAATTTGGTAAAAGAAAGTAAGGCTAAAGAACAGTATGAACAGATCCTTTCATTGTATTAATATAAAGTAGAGTAGCAGAAGAGCCTCCTATTATTTTCATTTCTGCTAAGCTGAAATACAATCTTGAAGTTGTCCGTGAGTATATAGCAAGGAAAATTTCAGTACCTCCAAGAGACTTTACTTCAGAACCCCAACTTATTGTTATTAGGTCGTTTGATGTTAACGAACCTGGCTGTGATATTGATGATATTACCAGGGAGAACAACTGGTGGCAGTATTTAAAAAGGTGTATTAAAGGTGGTCCAGGAGACAGGAGTCAGACTTGGTATTGTTCCCAAAAATAGTGAAGGAAAACTCATGTGTAAAACAATCATTTCCAAACTTGTATCACTTTTTGCAGAATACAATGATCCTCAGTACACTGCTCCAGGGAGTCTTACGGGAGTTGGAACAAAAATTTACCCAACATTCATAGAATGGCCGGGCAGGTGCTTGGTGCAGTTGGAGCTGTACCTAAGATCGTCACAGGACCAGAAATGTCCTATTTACTGCTTAGACAGCTCTAGGTGTATGTATAGAAGAAGGCAAAAAAACAGAAAAAGTACAAAAGCTGTCCATGAGCAAAGTTCTTATAGTAAACATACGATCTCTGTCTACAGGAAGAAGAGAGTGCAGTCAAAGATGATTTGGGTAAAATAGTTCTCACTAATCCTGTGTGCACAAAAGTAGGAGAAAAAAATTGCCCTTAGCCAAAGAGCTGAGAAACATTAGCATTTAATTCGTTGGGATCAGATAGAAGAGGAGTGGCCATGAAGCCAACAGTAGATGACAAGTGAAGAATTACAGTTAAATAACACAGTTGGGCAAACTCAGAATTTCTCTTAGTAACCTGAGGGTATATTTTCAAAGCCAAATGAGGGAATACATTTCACAGCTCATTACCTTTGTAGAAACTGTCAGGTGATCCTCACTTTTTGTGATGAAAATTTAACTTCTTCTACTTAAAGAGTTGGATATATAATAATGTCAAAAATGGTATGTTGATCAATTTAATATACATTTTAGCAGACATTGATCATTGTTAAACACTTTCAGATTTGTACTTCAATGAGCTTTGAAATGAAACTGCTTGTTACAACAGGCCTTTGTTGTATCACACATACCACTGTACCTATTTGAAATAAAGTTTTTATTTTAAAAAAGAAAAGAAAAAAAAAAAAAAAAGAAGGTGGCCAGACATGGTGGCTCATGTCTGTAGTCCTAGAACTTTGGGAGGCCAAAGTGAGAGGATTGCTTGAGGCCAGAAGTTCGAGACCAGCCTGAACAACATGGTGAGAACCCGTCTCTATTTAAGTTAAAAAAAATTTAATAGTTAAAAAGGTAAGTTTTATGATATGTATGTGTGTGTGTGTGTATATATATAGATAGATATATAGATATATAGATATTTTTTTTTGAGACGGAGTTTCGCTCATGTTGCCCAAGCTGGAGTGCAATGACACAATCTCGGTTCACCGTAACCTCCACCTCCTGACTTCAAGCAATTCTCCTGCCTCAGCCTCCCGAGTAGCTGGGATTACAGGCATGCACCACCACATCTGGCTAGTTCTGTATTTTTAGTAGAGATGGAGTTTCTCCATGTTGGTCAGGCTGATCTTGAACTCCCAACCTCAGGTGATTTGCCCACCTAGCCTCCCAAAGTGCTAGGGTTACAGGTGTGAGCCACCACACTCAACCACGATATGTATATTTTATCACAATTTTTTTAAAAATTCATCTCAGCCAGGTGCTGTGGCTCATGCTTGCAATTCCAGAACTTTGGGAGGCTGAGGCAGGTGGACCACTTGAGTCCAGGAGTTGGAGACCAGCCTGGCCAACATAGTGAAACTCCATCTCTACAAAAAATACAAAAATTAGCTGGGCATGGTGGTGTACACCTATAGTCCCAGCTACTCCCAGAGTCTGAGATGCAAGGATCACCTGAGCTGGGGAGGTTGAGGATGCAGTGAGCCATGATCACACCACTGCACTCCAGCCTGGGCAACAGAGTGACAACCTGTCTCAAAAAAAAAAAAAAATGCTGGGCACAGTGGCTCACGCCTGTAATCCCAGCACTTTGGGAGGCTGAGGCAGGTGGATCACGAGGTCAGGAGCTTGAGACCAGCCTGGCCAACATTGTGAAACCCCATCTCTACTAAAAAAACAAAAATTAGCCAGGTGTGGTGGCAGGCACCTGTAATCCCAGCTGCTCAGGAGGCTGAGGCAGGAGAATCACTTGAACCCAGGAGGCAGAGGTTGCAGTGGGCCGAGATCGCACCACTGTACTCCAGCCTGAGGGACAGAGCGAGACTCCATCTCGGAAAATAAAAAAAATTTAATCTAGTTCTCCTTTCTAATCCTGTACCTGGATCTTGACATTTATCTAACTTTAGGGTCTGTAGGTCTTGTTCATCTTTCATTGAGAGAAATATTTATACACTTTACCTGAGCACTGAGACTCTGTGAGCAACTGGGGCCACTCTTGGGTTACCTTTCCCTGGAACGAAGGGCTAGTTATCATCATGTCAAGTCTCTGAGTAATATATCCAAACATGAATATCCCAGGAATCTAGTTTAACTGGATTTACACTGAAGTTAGAGTGGGTGTTAGGGATGGGGCACAGTGGAGAGTGGTAATCTCAATCTCTCTTCTACATTTATTGGAAAATAACATCCACAGATAAGATGGCTTCTGGGATTGTCCAGTGCTCTCTGTCCCTACTTCTATTATTGCAAAGTTTAGTCTCCAAAGGAATCCAAAAGAAGTCAAATTAGATTTGTAGGGGAGAGAGAGAAAATTAAAAATTATGCAGCATGTACCAGATACTGCTATTGTTGCTTGACATTCATTACCTCATTTGATTTTCATAACAAACATGTTATCATCTTTGGACTAGGAGACAAATCTAGTTATTTTCTGACTCCATAGCCCAGGCTCATTCTATTCTATTACGCTCACAGTTGCCTAGAGTCCATTTCTGTCACTGCCTCCTCCTGGAAAAAGCGGTGTTACCCTAAAATCAAAAATCTATAGCCAAACTTTTATGTTGGCAGGCAAATGAGACTCCTGGCAGCAAGTTTACTCTTTGATGAAAGCACTTAATACTGATTCCCTGTTAAAATAGTTTGGGGAGAAGGGAGAGAAGGGGGAATGGCAGAAGAAAGTGCTTCTTTATCTCTGCATTCAGTACCTCCCTTGGCTCAAAAAATAAAACAGAGCAACAAACTCATATAGATGAAAGAAATTAAACTTGATGCCTGAAAATCACTAAGCATAAATTTAGGCTTATATATTGTACTTTGCTACAAACAAACTAGACCTTTTTGACTTAATCATACCTAAATTGCTTTTCCAGGAGTATTGGTCATGGGATTATTTCGCTTTATTAGCTAGGAATAGACAAAGCAATAAACAAATAAGATAACTACATACTCTGCTTCTATCAATCACTTAATCAACTATCTCCCAACAAATGATCTGATTCTTCTTCCAAGCAAGAAGACTTGTCTATCAAAATACTACTTTAAGGACATCAAATCCTTACAAATAAAATCTTAATACACATCAACAAATTTTATAAGACATCCAAGTTAGAAATCCATGCAAATAAACTATTAACTGCATGAAAACTTTCCAAAGGATTTTCATAATCTTTTATAGCTTATCTTAAATTGAAATTCACATTTTGTCACAAAAGCACTTCAGAGTTCTGTGTTTGCATTGTAAAATGTCTTCTGACACACTGGATTGGGGTAAAGTCAACAATTAGTTACTCTATAAACCAAATAAAATGTGATTATGGGGTGCTGAGGAGCTGCTTGTTACTCAATGGAGAAAATTATTGGCTGGGCACAGTGGCTCACGCCTGTAATCCCAGCACTTTGGGAGGCCGAGGCAGGCAGATCACTTGAGTTCAGGAGTTCCAGATCCTGGACAACATGGTGAAACCCCATCTCTACCAAAAAAAATAGCCAAGTGTGGTGGCACGTGCCTGTTGTCCCAGCTACTCGGGAGGTTGAGGTGGGAGAATCATTTGAACCTTGGAAGCAAAGGTTGCAGTGAGTCCAGATTGCACCACTGCATTCCAGCCTGGGCGACAGAGTAAGACCCTGTCTCAAAAAAAAAAAAAAAAAGAAAAGAAAATTATTTTATTTCTATCTGAGCTTTAGTTTTCTCATTTATAAAAGACAGTATATAACAAAATCATCTCTTAGTACATTTCAGTCTTTAAGTTTCTATCATTTGGTTATTCAGTAATATGATAAACCAAAATATAAAATAATTCCTATCTAATTGTTAGTATGTAATGACATAATGAGACAAAATTATTAACAGGGGTTTTCAGAGTAAATAACAATGATAAAATCTACTTCTCTTATTACTACTTTTCTAAATTATTATTTGATAACTAATATGCCTTAGTATCATTAAATTCTCTGAAAAATATAAATATTATTCTGGTCTTTCATATAACTAATTTCACATTAAAACCTTAATTTCTTAAAGAAACACATTTAGATTTGCCTTTTTTTTATTAGTGCAAATTTATGGGGTACATGTGCAATTCTGTTACATACATAGGTGCATGTAGCAATCTAATAATGGTCAAGTCAGCGCTTTTAAAAACCTTTACTTATTTACAATTTGTTTTAATTTCTTTGACAAAATGATTTAACAAACGGCATCACAAGATCTAAAAATTTAATTTTAAGTTTTTCTTGCATTTTTAATACCTATAAGTTTTTAATAGTATAAATTGAGGTTCTCCTTGAAGTAAACCACATTCTTCTGGTTTTATTTTAAAATTTTGGATCGAAAGGAATTGTAAGTTTATATTATCCAAAAAAGAAAAAAGAAATGTAGTTTTGAGGTAGCAGATGGGAGGTTTAAAAATAATGCACTCATTTCCAAAAGATGCTATAATAAGCATGTTTCAGCTTTATAATAAAACAACAATAAAAGAAATAGCACACCATGCAAATAAAATTCACATCTTCCTTTATAATAGGGCAAAATTTTTCTATCCTTCTCCTTTCTTTGGGGTCTATGTTTCTCCATGTTTCTAAAATAGAAGTAACTCAACTAAGCAGGGAAGATGGAAAATTATAGAATGTGTAGCATCTCTGTATTTCTTACATACCTTGTATCAGATGAAATTAGTTTCTCATAAACCTTGTATCTGACAAAATATTTTTCTGCTATAGTTATATAAAATATTTATTTTTATGAGACCCACAGTAAACACCAAGCACCTAAAATGACAACCATCCTTCCCTAGTAACCATTTTATAGTTATCAACAATGCTGATCATTGTAGACTGTGGATCCTCTTTAATACTAAAAGGATTCAAATTCCATGGCAATACTACTTGTACAGTAAGAATGCTTTCAAATCCTTCAAATGTTTAGTTGTCACTAGGTCCAATTCTGATATCCTGCCTGATGCAAAATTTACATCAGTGCCTACTAAAAAAGGAACTAAATATAAGGATGTGTTGTCGCAGGGCACGGTGGTTCACACCTGTAATCCCAGCACTTTGGGAGGCTGAGGTGGGCGGATAGCCTGAGGTCAGGAGTTCGAGACCAGCCTGACCAACATGGAGTAACCCTGTCTCTATTAAAAACACAAAATTACCCAGGTGTGGTGGCGCATGCCTGTAATCCCAGCTACTCGGGAGGCTGAGGCAGGAAAATCACTTGAACCCAGGAGGCGGAGGTTGCAGTGAGCCGAGATTGCACCATTGCACTCCAGCCTGGGCAACAAGAGCAAAACTCCGTCTCAAAAAAAAAAAAAAAAAAAAAAAAAGAAAGGATGTGTTGAAGAACAAAATAAAATGTGGTTTATGTTCTGTAAAAGTAGTTACCAGCATCTACTAACATACAATCTATCTGTAATGTTATTAGGAACTTGTCTTTTAAAGAACCAATATACATATATTCCCTTTATTTCTGTTACTCATAAAGATGTGGGAATTCTATCCAAGTAGATTTTAATATTTTTACTTCTTTTATCTAACAAAGTATAGGCTGCTTTAGAAGTAAGAGGCTAGGCTGGGCGCGGTGGCTCACGCCTGTAATCCCAGCACTTTGGGAGGCCGAGGTGGGCGGATCACAAGTCTAGGAGATGGAGACCACCCTGGCTAACACGGTGAAACCCCGTCTCTACTAAAAATACAAAAAAAAATTAACTGGGCGTGGTGGCGGGTGCCTGTAGTCCCAGCTACTCAGGAGGCTGAAGCAGGAGAATGGTGTGAACCCGGGAGGCGGAGCTTGCAGTGAGCTAAGATCGCGCCACAGCACTCCAGCCTGGGCAACAGAGCCAGACCCTGTCTCAAGAAAAAAAAAAAAAAAAAAAAAAAAGAAGAAGAAGAAGAAGTAAGAGGCTTTCTTTACCTCCACCTTGATTTTCCAACATTTGTGATCTTGGTTCCTAAGATGCTCCTAGAAAAAGGTGAAACCTTTTTACGAATATGTACCCCTATATATGCTGCTCAAAAATCTACAGCTTTACCTTGCTCCTTCAGACTCAAGAAAACTTTGAGGTCATCTGGGCAATCCTCTCCTACTGTGGGAATCTCCTCTACAATATTCCAGACAGGTGGCTCACCAGCTTCTGCTTAAAGACTCCAAGCACAGGGTCCTCCCTGCTTCACAAGGTGTCCAATTCCACTCTCATATGTTAGAAAGTTCTTATTTTAAGGAGATATCTACTTCCTGCTGCCTCCACCCAGTAATCCAACTTCTGCCTTCTGAAGCCACATGAAATAAACTTAACTCCTCTTGTCAATAGAATTTTTCTTCAAATAAAGAGATGCAGATATTTTCACAATTCTTCCCATATCCTTTGAGCACTGTCTTTCTTAGACAAGTGCTCAAATTTATCAAAACCCTCTTTAAAACTGGGAGCTAGAAAGACTGCTCAAATACTCTGTAAGATTGAATGATACAGGGACATTATATTTTACTGAATTAGTCCTCATGTAACATTTCCCAGAAGAAAAGCTACTTTTTATTTCTCCCCACCTTTGAAGCCCCTTAAGAAAGGAACAGTTGGGCAGGGTGTGATGGCTCACGCCTGTAATCCCAGCACTTTGGGAGGCCGAGGTGGGTGGATCGCTTAGTCCAGGAGTTCGAGACCAGCCTGGTCAATATGGTAAAACACTATCTGTACTGAAAATACAAAAATTAGCCGGCGTGGTGGCATGCACATGTAATCCCAGCTACTTGGGAAGCTGAGGCCGGAGAAATTGCTTGAACCCAGGAGGCAGAGGTTGCAGTGAGCCATGATCACACCACTGCACCCCAGCCTGGGCGACAGAGCAAAACTCCATCTCAAAAAAAAAAAAAAAAAAAAAGAAAAGAAAAGTTAATGGGGCCCCTGACTAGAAAGAAAGACCTTCTGTGAGTCCCCTCACTCTGCTAGAAATCCGGTCATCCGGCTCAGAAATCAACAAGGTAGACTTCAGGATTAATTGGTTGGAGCCCTGATATTTCATGAAGACAAATTAGTACATTATCAAGCACAGATTATTTTTATTGACTAGTGGTCATTTTAATAAACAAAGAATCCACTAATTCCTTCTTATAAGTAGAAGTTAATTTAATATTTTATCACCTTTCTTATTTCCAAAAATGTCTAAATCAGTCTTCTCTTATTTATTCTCTTTTTTCCACAATGACAAACTATGTAGTCCACTATAGCAAGCTATCTCTACCATATAGAAGAAATGAAATCTAATCCTTTTGGTACCTGGGGAGCTCCTCAGTGAATCCTTTGCTATCACCATCTTGGATAACTCTCTAATGCTGCTTCCAAAAAGGCAGTGGTTGCTCCATTTTACAATCCCACCAACAAGGGTTCCAATTTCTCCACATTCTCACCAACACTGGTTATTTTCTGGTGTGTATGTTTTTGGTTTTGTTTTTATTTTAATAGTAGCCATCCTAACAGATATAAGGTGATATTTCGTTTTGGTTTAGTTTCACATTTCTCTGATGCAAAGAGAGAGAGGTTTTGCCTTCAAGTCTTCCACCTTTTGTTTCATGTTCTTTCCCATCCCTTATTCTTCCTTCTTCTCTAGCAGCATACCTTCTCCCATTCCAACTACTGTGATCCCTAACACAGAGATCACTGGCACAGATTTACTAGAATATACAGGAACTTGAGGATATATACTACATATCCCTGAGGGAAATCACTGGCCATCTTTAAATCACTGATTTAAAGCCATCAATGGTCACTATTGTCCTTATATCTTCTCCTCCCCATAATAAACTCAATTCTAAGTTAATAAATATAAGTATGCTTATTTTTGTGCTCCTACAGCCTGTTAAAAAATTCTTTTTTTCCAAGGCCTTTCTCTACCTCCTTGGTCTCAAATCATAACTTTGGCCCTGGTAGCCATGTGACCTGCTGATTTAGATGGTGTCCTGTGCCCTCTTCGTCTAAGAATTTCTAACAAACTAGTCATCAGGTACCACTTTAGCTAAACCTTCATTTTGATCTTCCTATTCAGGATGCCTTTCTCCCAGCTACCTTTATTTCCAGTCTTCTAACACTTAAGGATTTTCTAGTAAGCTGAGAACCTCAGGCTTCAGCTCATCTAAGACTTGGGGATTTTTCCCTCAAATCCCTTTTGAGTCCTTTCTGAACTTTCCATTTTACCACAGTATAATAATTGTATAAGGGCACCCTCCATGCACAACAACTTCTTTATGAGAGTATTATTTTCTTGCAAATAAGTATACATTACATTTTCCTTAGAAGCAAATGTGATTTTTTTAAGATGGAGGAAGGCACCGAACCGTAATCTATTACATAGAATCCATGCCCTAAACACTTTGAGGGAAATAAAAATACATAAAATATGGTTCCTGCCCTCAGAGAGTTTATGCTGTATTTGAGATGATGAAGTATATAATATTAATAATTAAAAAAACTCTCTCCTCCCGCAGCCCAAGATGCTGAAAGGAAAGAAGGCCAAGGGAAAGAAGGTGGCTCCGGCCCCTGCTGTCGTGAAGAAGCAGGAGGCTAAGAAAGTGGTGAATCCCCTGTTTGAGGAAAGGCCTAAGAATTTTGGCATTGGACAGGACATCCAGCCCAAAAGAGACCTCACCCGCTTTGTGAAATGGCCCCGCTATATCAGGTTGCAGCAGCAGAGAGCCATCCTCTATAAGCGGCTGAAAGTGCCTCCTGCGATTAACCAGTTCACCCAGGCCCTGGACCGCCAAACAGCTACTCAGCTGCTTAAGCTGGCCCACAAGTACAGACCAGAGACAAAGCAAGAGAAGAAGGCTGTTGGCCCAGGCCGAGAAGAAAGCTGCTGGCAAAGGGGACGTCCCCACCAAGAGACCACCTGTCCTTTGAGCAGGAGTTAACACCGTCACCACCTTGGTGGAGAACAAGAAAGCTCAGCTGGTGGTGATTGCACCCGACGTGGATCCCATCGAGCTGGCTGTCTTCTTGCCTGCCCTATGTCGTAAAATGGTGGTCCCTTAGTGCATTATCAAGAGGAAGGCAAGACTGGGACGTCTCGTCCACAGGAAGACCTGCACCACTGTCGCCTTCACACAGGTGAACTCGGAAGACAAAGGCGCTTTGGCTAAGCTGGTGGAAGCTATCAGGACCAATTACAATGACAGATACGATGAGATCTGCCGTCACTGGGGTGGCAACATCCTGGGTCCTAAGTCTGTGGCTCGCATTGCCAAGCTCGAAAAGGCAAAGGCTAAAGAACTTGCCACTAAACTGGGTTAAATGTGCACTGTTGAGTTTTCTGTACATAAAAATAATTAAAATAATACAAATTTTCCTTCAAAGAAATACATTGGGTAATACATAATATGTGTCCTCTGTAATGACTCACTAATCATTAATGATCATATAATGATCATACATGGAGGATGTCAGGAGACTGCGGCATTTGAGACAGGCTTTGCCTAACCCCTTAAGATTTCAGCTAAGTTCAGAACATGTGTAAATTCATGGAGAACACTCTATGGTCAAAAAGGAGAGGTGCCAGCAAATGCAGGGAGGTGAGATGCTCCAGACATGGTCTGGATATGACAATCCCAGGGTCACACAGAAAGTGCCCCCCTTCCAACTGAACTGCCTACCCATGACAGTGGTGCTACTCATTCTTTACGCAGAAGTGGCCACTGATTGGAACAGAGTGGGCCTGACCCAAGGGCAGCTTCTCCACAGCCTGCGTCTTGACCCATGGAGTGGACTTACTCAAAGGACTTTTCCTACTGGGGCAATGGAAATTAGTCCAGACTATCTCCCTCCAGAATTTATAGTAGAGAATACAGAGAGAATTGATGAGAGGGAGAAAGGAAGAGAGCAACCCCCTAAGAAGACACCAGAAAACAAAGCCTGGGTCCTGGGTATTTATAATAAACCCCTTTATCTTAAAATTATCTGAGTGAATCTCTTCCTTGCAAACAAAAAAGCCTGATGTAACATATTTTAAGAACAAGTAATACACAAGTCTACCCTGAATAGAGGGTTTATCGAGGGGAGTAGCAGAAGGTAATTTTGAAACAGTTTGAGGTCTTTACATGTGAAGAACTTTGAAGGTCAACTATATATTTTTGTCTTTTTTATCTAATCTATGCTTGAACTTAGCCAAAAGGCTGACAAGTGATTTTTAATCTAATCTTACTTTAATTTTGCCATTGCATATTTAACAAAATTTAAACCAAAACAGTACCTATCAGATTAAATAGAAATAAATTAATTTGCAAGATATATATGTGACTTGAATAGCGGGAATAAAAATGTTTGATTTTGGCCAGGTGTGATGGCTCACACCTGTAATCCCAGCACTTTGGGAGACCAAGGTGGGCGGATCACTTGATGCCAGGAGTTGGAGACCAACCTGGCCAACATGGCGAATCCCCATCTCTACTAAATATACAAAAATTAGCCAGGCCTGGAGGTGCGTGTCTGTAATCCCAGCTACTCGGGAGGCTGAGACATGAGAATCACATGAACCTGGGAGGTGGAGGCTGCACTGAGCTGAGATCGTGCCACTGCACTCCAGCCTGTGCGACAAAGTGAGACTCCATCTCAAAAAAAAAAAAAAAAAAAAGTTTGATTTTACTCTTATTTGTCACAGATGACCAAAGGCATTAAAAATTCTGGTGGTGTCTGGGCATGGTGGCTCACACCTATAATCCCAACACTTCAGGAGGCTGAGGTGGGCAGGAGGTCAGGAGATTCAGACCATCCTGGCCAACACGGTGAAACTCCGTCTCTACTAAAAATACAAAAACTAGCTGGGTGTGGTGGTGCACACCTGTAATCCCAGCTACTTGGGAGGCTGAGGCAGGAGAATCACTTAAACCGGAAGGCAGAGGTTGCAGTGAGCCGAGATCACGCTACTGCACTCCAGCCTGGGCGACAAAGCAAGACTCCATCTCAGAAAAAAAAAAAAAAAAAAAATTCTGGTGGTTAGTTGATATAACAAGCTGATGCTTTCTAAATCTTTTCTTTTTTCACACACAAAATGATGGAGATCTATACCCACACCTCATATTGCCATATATTTTTACACACAGTGAAGGATGAATTTAGTTTTTTTTTTTTTTACTTTTTTTTTTCATCAAACCTGTCAGCAGGAAGTAGAAGGATGGATTTTGTAAACCGAAATGTTTTGGTCAACATTATAAAAAGTTTATAGGATATCTCAAAATAGGCTGTGCGTGGTGGCTCATGCCTGTAATCCCAGCAATTTAGGAGGCTGAGGTGGCCGGATCACTTGAGGCTAGGAGTTCAAGACTAGCCTGGCCAACGTGGCAAAACCCCGTCTCTACAAAAAAATACAAAAATTCACCAGGCATAGTGGCACGTGCCTGTAATCCCAGCTACTCTGGAGGCTGAGGCATGAGAATCACTGGAACCCAGCGGGCAGAGGCTGCAGTGAGCCAAGATCACACTGCTGCACTCCAGCCTGGGCAACAAAGCAAGAGACTGTCTCAAAAAAATAAAAACAAAAAGCAACACCAGGCTGGCATAGTGGTTCACACCTAATCCCAGCACTTTGTGGGGCTGAGACAGGAGGATTGCTGGAGCTCAGAAGTTCAAGGTTACGGTGAGCTATGATCGCGCCCACTACACTCCAGCCTGGGCAACAGAGCAAGATCCTGTCTCTTTAAAAAAACAAAAAGGCCAGGCGCAGTGGCTCACACTTGTAATCCAGCACTTTGGGAGGCCAAGGCGGGTGGATCACGAGGTCAGGTGTTCGAGACTAGCCTGACCAACATGGTGAAACCCCGTCTCTATTAAAAATACAGAAATTAGCTGGGTGTGGTGGTGGGCTTCTGTCACCCAGCTACTCGAGAGGCTGAGGCAGGAGAATCACTTGAACCCAGGAGGCAGCGGTTGCAGTCAGCCGAGATCATGCTACTGCACTCCAGCCTGGGTGACAGAGCAAGACTCCGTCTCAAAAAAAAAGGAAAAAAAGGAAAATAAATAAATAAATAAACAAAAAGAAAAAAAAGCCACTACTGCCAAGAGCTTCACCCATTCATTGAGGGTCATTGGAAGGGTTGTTAATAATCCAAACTGAGGCACACATATTAAGGATCAAGGGGAGGTAGCAAAAGAAGCACCAAGAGTAAGCAGTGAAAAAGGTTAAATATTCCCACCAACAACCCAGATGTACAAACTCTTCCATCATTTGCATTCACAGCCTGCAAGCTCACAGAACCTTCTAAATGGATTTTCTCTACAGCAAGCAGCTGTTTCACCAAAGCTGCATTAAAGTGACTTGCTATAATATATTATAATTTTAAAGACTCCCTCTGTTCCCATACTTCTGGTATTTTCCTCTTGTTTTATTTTATTGGCCACGGCATCAAACTGAGTAAACATTTTCCAGCTCAACCACAAAGTACTGTTGGCTTTGTCTATCAACACTTATAATCGCTCTTAAGAGGAAATATATTTTTCTGTAAGACCAAATGAGAATCTTTCATGAGAATTAGTGTGCACCACTTGGAAAATTTTCAGAAAGGATAAAATAAAATCCAATCAAATCTGTTCATAAAGCAAAATAAGATGATTTGCTCTGCATTTTTATCCATTAAATTAAAAGTGTAGGGCCAGAAATGGTGGCTCATGCCTCTAATCCCAGCACTTGGAGAGGCTAAGGTGGGCAGATTGCTTGTGCCCAAGAGTTTAAGACCAGCCCGGGCCGGACGGGGTGGCTCACGCTTGTAATCCCAGCACTTTGGGAGGCCGAGGCGGGCGGATCATGAGGTCAGGAGATCGAGACCATCCTGGCTAACATGGTGAAACCCCGTCTCTACTACAAATACAAAAAATTAGCCGGGAGTGGTGGCAGGCGCCGGTAGGAGGCTGAGGCAGGAGAATGGCGTGAACCTGGGAGGCGGAGCTTGCAGTGAGCCGAGATCGCGCCACTGCACTCCGGCCTGGGCGACAGAGCTAGACTCTGTCTGAAAAAAAAAAAAAAAAAAAAAAAAATCAGTCAGGGTGGTGGCACGTGCCTGTAGTCCCAATTTCTTGGAAGGCTGAGGTGGGAGGATCGATTAAGGCTGGGAGATCGAGGCTGTGGTGAGCCATGATCGCACCACTGTACTGCAAGCGAGACCTGGTCTCAAAAAAAAAAGCATATTAACTGCCATTGTTTATAGGAGTTTATGCTTTTAACATACTCATTTAAGTATGCCATATGTATTTGTAGAAGCATTGCTTATCACAAGAAAATACTGGAAACAACCAAAATGTCCATCAGTAGGTAGAGTTTACTCATACCATGAATGGATACTAAGCAGGTAGTTTAGCTTTAGTTCATGTATTTTCACTATTGTATAGTATGCCAGAGTATGAGTATACCACAATACGTTTTAAAAATATATCAACATAAGCCAGGCGCGGTGGCTCACGCCTGTAATCCCAACACTTTGGGAGGCTGAGGTGGTCGGATCACGAGGTCAGGAGATCGAGACCATCCTGGCTAACATGGTGAAACCCCGTCTCTACTAAAAATACAAAAAATTAGCTGGACGTGGTGGCGGGTGTCTGTAGTCCCAGCTATTCGGGAGGCTGAGGCAGGAGAATGGCATGAACCCAGGAGGCAGAGCTTGCAGTGAGCCGATCGCGCCACTGCATTCCAACCTGGGTGACAGAGCGAGACTCTGTCTCAATAAATAAATAAATAAATAAATAAATAAATAAATAAATAATATATCAACATAAATAGATTTCATAACATAAGTTGAAGACAAAAAGCAAATCGCCAAAATGCCAATAGTATGCTATCAAGAAATGTAAAAACATGAGGAACAATTATATTTATTGTTAGGTATACATTCATGTGAAGTACAAGTTCAAAGAAATGCATGGGAATGATGAGAGTTGTTACCTGGAGAATTAATGGAGGATACACTTGGAAAGAGATATTGGGTTAAACCACATGACACTGCCAATGTTTATGCATTTATGACATAGAAAAACACCAATCTCATGTTCCAGCCCAACATATAAGTAGTGTTCCATTATGTTAAATAGGTTTTATTTCTTAAGCTAAGAGGTGAATACACATGTGTTCACATGAATGCGTGTGGCTCCACAAACTAACCCTGTGACCCTAGAAAAGCTATTTAGGCCAGGCGAGGTGGCTCACGCCTATAATCCCGGCACTTTGGGAGGCCAATGCGGGGGGAATCACGAGGTCAGGAGCTCGAGACCAGCCTGGCCAACATAGTGAAACCTCATCTCTACTAAAAATACAAAAATTAGCCAGGCATGGTGGCGCACGCCTGTAGTCCCAGCTACTCGGGAGGCTGAAGCAAGAGAATCACTTGAACTTGGGAGGTGGAGGTTGTGGTGAGGTGAGATCGAGACACTGCACTCCAGCCTGGGCAACAGAGTGAGACTCCGTCTCAAAAAGAAAAAAGAAAAGAAAAGCTATTTATTCTGGTTTTTTGTTTTTTGTTTTTTTTGAGATGGAGTCTCACTCTTGTCACCCAGGCTGGAGTGCAGTGGTGCAATCTCAGCTCACTGCAACCTCCACCTCCCAGATTCAAGAGATCCTCCTGCCTCAGCCTCCTGAGTAGCTGGGATTACAGGCACCTGCCACCATGCCCAGCTAATTTTTGTATTTTTGGTAGAGACAGGGGGTTTCACCATGTTGGCCAGACTGATCTCAAACTCCTGACCTCAGGTGATCCACCCATCTCGGCCTCCCAAAGTGCTGCAATTACAGGCGTGAGCCACCGAGCCCAGCCTTTAATCTGGTTTCTTCACCTGTAGCATGGGGATAAAAATAATATATATCTCACAGGGGTATACTAAGGATCAAATAAGTTAATATATGTAAAGGACTTAAAGAGTGCCTGGCACATAGGTAAGCACTATTTGATTCCATTACTATTGTTTGTATAGCTGTTTGTATAGTTGGAAAATATTTTATGAAAATATGTTTCAATTTCTTATGGAAAAAGGTAAATAGAAACAAAAGTAAAGAGAATAGTATAATGAGATATAAACAAAAGTAGAGAGAATAGTATAATGACTCAAATCATTTTGCCTTCACAATTAGCAAATCATGGCCAGCGTTTCACTTCTATTCCCATCCCCTTTCCAGAAACACATATGAGATTATTTTGAAAAAAATCCTAGATTTTATCAGTAAGCATTTCAATATATATCTTAAAATATAAAGACTTCTAAAAACTTAACCCAGGCTGGGCGCGGTGGCTCACGCCTGTAATTCCAGCACTTTGGGAGGCCGAGACTGGCGGATCACGAGGTCAGGAGTTCGAGACTAGCCTGGCCAATATGGTGAAACCCTGTCTCTACTAAAAATACAAAAACTAGCCGGGCATGGTGGTATGCAACTGTTGTCCCAGCTACTCGGGAGGCAGAGGCAGGAGAACCACTTGAACCCTGGAGGTAGAGGTTGCAGTGAGCCAATATCACGCCACTGCACTCCAGCCTGGGCAACAGAGTGAGACTCTGTCTCAAAAAAAAAAAAAAAAAAAATACTGTTATCACACTTTAAAAATTAACAATTTCTTAATATTATCAAAAATAGTCACTGTTAAAATTCGTTGCTTGTGTCATAAATACTTATAAGTAAACTTTATGTTGCAATATTTATAAGTAGACAGCTTGATGAATTTTTATAAAATGAACATACTTATGTAATAAGCACCTGTAAAAAAAATAGAGTCTGTGTGTTTTTTATGATTTTTAAAAATCAGGATGCAAATAAGGCCATGCTTTACAATTGATTGACAATCTCTTTCATAGTATTAATAATTAATATTAAAATAATGAAGAATATGAGCTTATTTCTGTTTTTTAGACAATTTGTTTTTTTTCTTTCTGAAAGAATATATAAAACACGATTAGTTACCATTGACAGTGGAAATGGAAGTCAGAAATTCAATAAGGAAAGTTTACTTTTCAGCTGGGTGTGGTGGCTCATGCCTGTAATCCCAGGACTTTGGGAGGCCAAGGTAGGCAGATCACCTGAGGTCTGGAGTTCACGAGCAGCCTGGCCAACATGGTGAAACCCCGTCTCTACTAAAAATACAAAAATTAGCTAGGCGTGGTGGCAGGCAGAGATCCCTTGAGCCTAGGAGTTTGAGAGTTTGAGACCAGCCTAGGCAACATGGTGAAACCCCTTCCCTACAAAAAATTATCCAGGCGTGGTGATGTGCACCTGCAGTCCCAGCTACTTGGTAGGCTGAGGCACAATAATCACTTGAGCACAGGAGGTGGAGGCTGCGGTGAGCTGTGATCACACCACTGCACTCCAGCCTGAGTGATGAGAGTAAGACCTTGTCTCAAAAAAATAATAACTTTTTTTAAGAAAGAAAATACTATCAAAAATTAAAAATGGGTTCAACTTATGGTCATTAAAGTATAACAAATAGTTATATAATTTATATGGTTATGCTTTGTGTCCTCACCCAAATCTTATCTTGAATTGTAATCCTGATAATCCCCACATGTCAAGGGAGAGACAGTGGGAGATGATTGGATCATGGGGGCAGTGTCCCTCATGCTGTTCTCATGATAGTGACTGAGTTCTCACGAGATCAGATGGTTTTATGCATGTCTAACAGTTCCTCCTTCACACACTTGCTCTCTCTCCCCTTCCGCCATGATTGTAAGTTTCCTGATGCCTCCCCAGCCATTTGGAACTGAGTCAATTAAATCTCTTTCCTTTATAAATTACCCAGTCTCGGTAGTATCTTCATAGCTGTGTAAGAACAGCCTAATCCAATAATTATATGCTATTGTTCTACATATGAATCATATTATACATTAAATTAATATTATACTATACAGAGTTACCTATATTCTACAGCTAACTCAACATATATTAGAATTCACTTGTTTCTTTCATAATTATAATTGTTTTCTACCATAATCACTGTGTCTTTGTTACTTAGGTTTCCAGCCCTTGGTCTAATTGAAACAAAAGCGTCTTACTGGTGTGCCAGCAATAGAATTTAAAAATCTTTAGACTGCAATATTGTAGTTTTGCAGACCTTAATGGCATTGCCCTTGACTGGAGATGCACAAGCAAATTCATTTCCTGTCAGCCTTGCTGAGGATAATGGGCTTTCCCAGTGCTGCAGAGTTTTCACTGACTTCTTTTTTTTTTTTTTTGAGACAGAGTCTCACTGTGTCACCCAGGCTAGAGTGCAGTGGCGCAATCTTAGCACCGCAACTCAGCCCCCCAAGTAACTGGGACTACAAGCGTGCACCACCAGCCTGGCTAATTTTTGTATTTTTAGTAGAGACAGGGTTTCACCATGTTTCCCAAGCTGGTCTTGAACTCCTGACTTCAGATGATCCGCCCACCTCGGCCTCCCAAAGTGCTAGGATTACAGGTGTGAACCACCACACCTGGCTCACTGGCTTCTATTGACAGTGCAGTGGAAGGGGCTCTGAGCACAATGCCATCTTCTGGCAGAGTTCCTGGAAAAAGGAAATAATGATGCCCTGCAAGAAACCCCTTGTTTCTGGAAACCAGAATGTCAGGCTCTATCATAAAGGTTTCATTTTCCTCCTACTTTAGGATATGTTCAGGTGAAGGCAAGAAGACAACTGAACAATCCTGAAATTAAAATGTGTGTGAATGCGTCCATAAAACATTTAGAGTACTCCACATTCCAGAACTTTGAGGAAAGTGCTAAATCCAGTGATAATATCTGAGGAGTCCTCTCATACATTTGTATAATTGAGATCATTGTGTAAGTAAATAAGAAGAAAATGAGAAATCTATGTACTTCTTTGTCAATAAAAATAAAATGGCCTTTTTTTTTCTTTTTTTAGAGACCGAGTCCCGCTCTGTCGCCCAGGCTGGAGTGCAGTGGCGCAATCTTGGCTCACCACGAGCTCCGTCTCCCGGGTTCACGCCATTATCCTGCCTCAGCCTCCCAAGTAACTGGGACTACAGGCGCCCATCACCACGCCCGGCTAATTTTTTCTATTTTTCAGTAGAGACGGGGTTTCACCGTGTTAGCCACGATGGTCTCGATCTCCTGACCTTGTGATCTGCCCGCCTCAGCCTCCCAAAGTGCTGGGATTACAGGCGTGAGCCACCGCACCCGGCCAAAGTGGCTTTTTTTTAAAAAGCAGAATTATCCAGAAAATTACTTATCCCACATATATATTATAGGATGTACATTAAAAAATATACCAGGACTTCACCAAGAGAGGTGGCTCGGCACTCCCAGAAAACAGCACTAACAAATAAGGGTTGCAGGATCGCTCAAACTGAATGATGACATATTTAAAAGTTGCTTTTGCACCAACCTAATAGTAAACTTGCACAGGGACAAACTTCAATTCCTGACAACTTTGGTACAAATTAGATTTCCCTGGAGGTCCAATGTGATGTGAAGAATAGGTAGTTTAAGCTAGCTCAGCACGTCAGAAATCAGTGGAAAGCACTAGTACTGCCTATAAATGATGATGTTGAGAAGTCAGAAGTTATTACACATTCGATTTCCCCCAGACAAAAAAATTCAACAAACAAAGTAGTTGCAGCCAATGGTGTACTGGGTGGTTATCTAACAGCCACTCCCACATTCCACATTCCCCTAAACACAAACACGAATAATCTAGGTAACAATCCTATTGCAGGCTGGCGCCCCTTGTCAGCGATTGGTTCGAATTGACACCATTATTACAAGGGGTAAGCAAGTCACAGATATCAACCTACCTGCTTCAGAGCAGCGAGAAATGACAAACTCTTTAAGGAGAAGGACTGTGCATTCTTCTATCCCAGTCTCCCCAACCCTTAGCTACACATGGATTTCATTGTATCCTCCACAGATGTTTGTTCAAATGATAGTTAATTAGAAGTCATATTTCAGGGCCAGCTGCGGTGGTTCATGCCTGTAATCCCAGCATTTTGGGAGGCCGAGGCAGGGGGATTACTTGAGGTTGGGGGTTCAAGACCAGCCTGGCCAACTTGGTGAAACCCCATCTCTACTAAAAATACAAAAATTGGCCAGGCGTGGTGGTGGGCTCCCATAATCTCAGCTACTTCAAACCCAGCATAAAAATACTGGGATTGGCCAGGTGTGGTGGCTCACACCTGTAATCCCAGCACTTTGGGAGGCTGAGGCAGGCGGATCACTTGAGGTCAGGAGTTCAAGACCAGCCTGGTCAACATGGCAAAACCCCGTCTCTACTAAAAATACAAAAATTAGCCAGACGTGGTCACGTGCACCTGTAATCCCAGCTCCTCGGAAGGCCGAGGCAGAAGAATCGCTTGAACCCAGGAGGCAGAGGTTGCAGTGAGCCGAGATCGCGCCATTGCACTCCAGCCTGCATGACAAGAGCAAAACTCCGTCTCAAAAAAAAAAAGAAAGAAAGAAACCTAAATCTTCATGGTGATTACTTCTCAAATATAAGATTATAGATGAGCCGGGCGCGGTGGCTCAAGCCTGTAATCCCAGCACTTTGGGAGGCCGAGGCGGGCGGATCACCTGAGGTCAGAAATTCAAGACCAGCCTGGCCAACATGGTGAAACCCCATCTCTATTAAAAATACAAAAATTAGCCGGGTGTGGTGACACATGCCTGTAATTACAGCTACTCGGGAGGCTGAGGCAGGAGAATCGGTTGAACCTGGGAGGTGGAGGTTGCAGTGAGCCGAGATCGTGCCACTGCACTCCAGCCTGGGTGACAGAGCGAGACTCTGTCTCAAAAAAAAAAAAAAAAAGATTATAGATGTATTTTTTTAAAACTACTTTGAATATTTTTCAGTATCTTTATTAGCAGGGCTTTTTAAAAATTTACATGCCAGGCGCTGTGGCTCACGCCTGTAATCCCAGCACTTTGGGAGGCCGAGGCGGGCGGATCACGAGGTCAGGAGATCAAGACGATCCTGGCCAACACGGTGAAACCCTGTCTCTACTAAAACAAATACAAAAAATTAGCTGGACGTGGTGGCAGGTGTCTGTAGTCCCAGCTATTCAGGAGGCTGAGGCAGGAGAATGGCGTGAATCCAGGAGGCGGAGCTTGCAGTGAGCTGAGATCCTGCCACTGCACTCCAGCCTGAGCGACAGAGCAAGACTCTGTCTCAAAAAATAAATAAATAAATAAATAAAAATTTACTTGGTGAGCCAGTTCCTGCTGTGTGATTTTGCACATGTAAGCCTTACATACGTATATTGCCCATCAGCTGTAGCTCACCCTTCCAAACAAAACTGTGTATGGAAACAATTTAACTAAATTAAGAAGAATATATTATGCCAACATTCACTGAGTTATTTGTGTAACTCATATTATTTTTATTTTTCTCAGAGTTTGAAAAATTAAAATCCTTTCAATTTTTAGAAACAACTAATAGGAGATCTCAGGATATAAATTTGGTTTGACTTTTTTGTTTCAGGGATGAGTAAAAGCTGCTCAGTTAATAGAGAGGGTTGTGTGAAATGGGTGACTCTCAACCGAAAGCCATTCAGGGATGAAACAGAGTGAGAGGGATTCCTAGAAAGACCAAATATATGGGATTCACAGCATTCTCTCTTTCCCTAGTTTTCTTATGAAACTTCCTGTGTCCCTGATAGATGCCTACTTAATATGCAAATACATGTGCATAATGTACATATTTAATGTGCAACTATTTTTATTACAATGTGATGAAAACTCTAAGACAAATCTGTAAGTATTGAAGAGTAGTGGAATATGCCACCCCAAAATATGCCAATTTGGCACAAGGGTTATTTTGAGCTAAAGACACTTAAAAAACAGCAAGTACAAGAAAGGTTCTGACCTTTCCTTTTTCTTCCTAAAAACAGGAAATAAAATTCCCATATGGAAGATGTGCTCCCTACTCCAGAAGGAAAGTAACATTTTTACCAGAGAGATGGGGAGTTAAGGCTGAGAAAAATCTGTACAAACCTTGTCAAGCTCACTCTTCCCTTCCTAGTTACTTTTCCACCATGAATTGTCCTAGCTCAAGCCTTTTTGTCTTGTCACATTTTCAGAATTTACTGCTCTTTGTCCAATTCAGTAAATAAGCATTTGACTCTGCTTCTTTTAGTATTCACTTCTATACGAGAATTCTCATGTCATGTAAAGCTTATATTAAATAAATTTGTATGTTTTTCTCTTGCTAATCTTTTGTTACAGGGGCCCCAGCTGGGAACTTAGGAGGGTAGAAGGGAAAGGATGTTTTTCTTCCCTTACAGTATCCCTCACTACTTCCTCTTCCTTCACTTCCTTCTTAACCAGAACACTCCCCCAAATCCTACCCTTAGTTCTCTTCTCTCACTACACGTTCCCTAGGCTGGCGCTTCTCAGAACGTAGTAGTTAGACCAATGGCATCAGCACCACCCGGGAACTTGTTAGAGCTGCAAATTATTGAGCCCTAACCAGACTGAATCAGAAACTCCAAGGGTGGCTGGGCTGCAACATGTTTTAACAAGCCCTCCAGGAGATTCTTACACATGCGAAAGTGTGGAAAACCACAGCCTTCATGCAGTCCCATCCGCCTCCAAGACGTCAGTCCTTATAGACCTACAACTACTCAAACCTATATACCTGGCTCTGACCAATTTTGTGAGCTTCAGACCTAATTTCTCATGTCCGCTAGGTTGGTCTCCCTATATGAATACTCCCAGTGTAACTCAAACTTAAAGTGATATACTTCCATCTTCCTACAAAAGCCGTGAGCAACCTCTACCCTACAACCTGCCCATTTTCCTACCTTCCCTTCTCAGTTAACGATACCCAACACTCACCTGGTCTATTAGCCTAGAAATCTTAAAATCTTAGAATTTTTTTTCTTGTGTGTGTGTGTGTGTGTGTGTGTGTGTGATGGAGCTTAGCTCTGTCACCCAGGCTGGAGTGCGGCGGCCCAATCTCGGCTCACTGCAACCTCCACCTCCTGGGTTCAAGCTATTCTCCTGTCTCAGCCTCCCAAGTATCTGGGATTACAGGCACGTGCCACCACACCCAGCTAATTTTTGTATTTTTAGTAGAGGCAGGGTTTCACCATGTTGGCCAGGCTGGTCTCGAACTTCCGACCTCAAGTAATCCACCTGCCTCGGCCTCCAAAAGTGCTGGGATTACAGGCATAAGCCACCGCCTTTGGTGAAATCTTAGGAATTATCCATTTTAATTGTCTTTCTCTCTTACCAGCCCCTCTGGTCACCAAGTTCTGATTCTACCTTAGGCACATCTCTTTATGCCCTACTCTCTTTTTTCTTTCACTGTCTATACTGCAGATTATCAGTAACTGGCCTCTCCACCTCCAGCTGGTCCAAACACAAAAGCATCCATCACACTCCTGCTGTACAAAACCCACGAGAAGAGGGGAAACTGGTGGAGAGACTGTGTTGAATATCAGTACAAATTTCAGTTGAGTCTTTAAAAATTATTCTCCAGCGGCCTGATTCTCTGTGAACCTGTTGCCCACAAGTATTATTTTTCAAAGCATCAGTCTTGTCCCGTTAAATCTCTTCTCAAAAACGTTCAAAATTTCCCATTGTCTATAAACAGTTCCAAATCTTTAATGGGACAATAAGTTTTTAAGCCCCTGCCTCCTGCTTAAATGATGTGGTGGTCTCACACTTTGACTCACACTATTCCTTGGACTGGACTTGGCCTCCCGTTTCCACCCCTCTTTCTTTACCATTTCACTTGTTATCCTTTAAAGACAATTCAAATGCTGCCTGCCCACCAGAACTCATGAATTGGTCCTCTTTCTGCTGCCCATGGCAATGTCTTAAACCTCTATGAGAGCTTCATTTCTTCCAGGCTTACAGGAGTTAGTTAGTCAGTTCGTTAGTTAGCTATTTATTTTTGAGACGGAGTCTCGCTCTGTCGCCCAGACTGGAGGTGCCGTGGCGCGATCTCGGCTCACTGCAAGCTCTGCCACGCGGGTTCACGCCATTCTCCTGCCTCAGCCTCCCGAGTAGCTGGGACTACAGACACCTGCCACTACACCTGCCTAATGTTTTCTATTTTTAGTAGAGACAGGGTTTCACCGTGTTAGCCAGGATGGTCTCGATCTCCTGACCTCGTGATCCACCCACCTTGGACTCCCAAAGTGCTAGGATTACAGGCGTGAGCCACCGTGCCCAGCGGTAGTTAGTTATTTATATCTTACAATACATGGATAGAAGATCCTTCCTTAAGGGCGTGACCAGGGCTGCAATTCATTTTTGTCTCTTACACCACTTACCACAGTAAAGATTTCCGGCTGGGCGCGGTGGCTCAAGCCTGTAATCCCAGCACTTTGGGAGGGCTCAAGCCTGTAATCCTAGTACTTTGGGAGGCCAAGGCAGGCAGATCACGAGATCAGGAGTTCAAGACCAGTCTGTCCAACATAGTCAAACCCCATCTCTACTAAAAATACAAAAATTAGCTGGGCATGGTGGCTGGCACCTGTAGTCCCAGCTACTTGGGAGTCTGAGGCAGGAGAATCACTTGAACCTGGGAGGCGGAGGTTGCAGTAAGCCGAGATCTTGCCACTGCACTCCAGCCTAGGCGATACAGCAAGACTCAGTATCAAAAAAATAAATTAATTAAAATAAAATAAAATAAAATAAAATTTACTTAGGTGGATAAAGATTTACTGGATGGATACTGATGGAATGGAAATACATATTGTATCTGTTACCACATAAAGGCTGGGCTAATGAAGCCTAACTGTCTTGGCACAAGTTGAATGCATGAATGTGTCTCTCTATTTCCTCAGAGCAGCAACTCTCAAATCTGACTAATCATGATAATTAATGGGGGAGATTTTCCCCAAAAAAGTGGATTCCCAAATGTTACCTAGGTAAAAACACAGAAAAGTAGTAATAATCTTTTAGGAAAGAGTCTAAGGGTAGGTGGGAAGAGAGAAGTTTTTACTTTTTACTTTGTTTTGTATCTTCAATGCTATGTGAATTTTCCAAACCCATGCGTGTTTTTGGCTTTTTTATGTCAACATGGGTTATCCAGATAAAGGAAACATGGGCCAATTTTGTGTTCTTGTTTATATTTTTCTGTGTTTTTTAAACTAATAATAAGACAGGGTCTCACTCCGTCATCCAGGCTGGAGTTCAGCAGCACGATCACGGCTCACCACAGCCCCAACTTCCCGAGCTCAGGTGATCCTCCCACCTCAGCCACCTCAGTAGCTGGGACTATAGGCATCCACCACCACACCTGGCTAATTTTTGCATTTTTTTAGAGATGGGGTTTTGCCATGTTGCCCAGGCTGGTCTTGAACCCCAGGGCTCAAGTGATCTGCCCACCTCGACCTCCCAAAGTTTTGGGATTTCGGGTATGAGCCACCGCATCCAACCACACTTTAAAAATTAATAAAACTAAATTAAAATACAGATTCTAAGCTCTCATTCTGGAGGTTCTCAGTTGGTACATATGCAATAGGAATCTGTATGTCTTTTCAAAGCTTCCACATAATTCTTGTACAGCCTCAGAACACACGCTCCCCAGTACCGTCACCTCCTACCCTTAAGTGGAGGTGAAAGGATGGAGCACCTCATTAATTTACAAATGTAGCAGAAGAAGAAAGCAACTGCACCAACAGCTAATAAGATGGACTTGAAGGCATAACCTGCTTACAAAACCCATCCTGCTGAGGGTACCAAAGGGACTCAACAGCAAGGGCCTCAACACTCCCCTCTTGAACACACACTTCTTCTCCTAGGTAATGCTATACTAGTTAATGAGGCTATTTGCCTTTAGTACCTTCTTTTCCCTTCAGACTATTTCTTGATATTCATTTAAGTCAGATTTCAGGAGGGTAATCCAGGTGTGGGTTTTTTTTCACATGTGTCCCAGGTGAGTCTCCAGTAAGGAATGGCTGAGTTGGGGCTCACAGGGTTCAGGATATGCTACTCCAAAATAAGGCACTGATATGATTTGGCTGTGTTCCCACTCAAATCTCATCTTGAGTTGTAGTTCCCATAGTTCCCACGTGTTGTGAGAGGGACCTGGTGGAAGATAATTGAATCATGAGGGCGGTTTCTCCCATACTGTTCTCATAGTAGTAAATAAGTCTCACGAGATCTGATGGTTTTATAAAGGGAAACTTATTTCACTTGGTCCTCATTCTCTCTTGTCTGCCACCATGTAAGACACACTTTTTGCCTTCCACCATGATTGTGAGGCCTTCCCAGCCATGAGGAACTGTGATGTGAGTCCATTAAACTTCTTTTTCTTTATAAATTACCCAGTCTCGGGTATGTCTTTATCAGCAGCGTGAAAATGGACTAATATAGACACCTTGGCACATTGAATACCTGAGGCTGAAGGACTCTGAGAAGCAGCATATGCGAGAAGGATTTTCTGACCTTCTCCTGAAGCAGCTCCAAGAGCCCCATCTGAAAGATGCCCACTCTGTACCCAGAGGAAAGGGGCTTCCTTATCTCTGAAGACACAGGACACCAAGAGGAATCTGAACAAACAAGCCTTGTTAAGTTTCCCCAGTTTAGGCCAGGTGCGGTGGCTCACCCCTGTAATCTCAGCACTTTGGGAGGCCAAGGCGGGTGGATCACGAGGTCAGGAGATCGAGACCATCCTGGCTAACGCAGTGAAACTCTGTCTCTACTAAAAATACAAAAAATGAGCCGGGCACGGTGGCGGGCACCTGTAGTCCCAGCTACTCAGGAGGCTGAGGCAAGAGAATGGCGTGAACTCGGGAGGCGGAGCTTGCAGTGAGCTGAGATCACGCCACTGCACTCCGGCCTGGGCGAAAGAGTGAGACTCTGTCTCAAAAAAAAAAAAAGTTTCCCCAGCTTATTCCCATTAGATCATGCCCTTTTGTCCTCCTATTATATTTCTCCATGACCTCCACACCTCATCAAGCTCAGCATAAAAACATTCAGTTCTAATTATTTCTTTTGGTCTTCATTTCCTTATGAACGCTTCCTGTCACAAAAACTTATACTAAATAAATGTGGCCGGGTGTGGTGGCTCACGCCTGTAATCCCAGCACTTTAGGAGGCTGAGGCAGGCAGATCACCTGAGATCGGGGGTTCGAGACCAGCCTGACTAACATGGAGAAACCCCATCTCTACTAAAAATACAAAACAAAAATTAGCCAAGCGTGGTGGCGCATGCCTGTAATCCCAGCTACTAGGGAGTCTGAGGCAGCAGATTCGCTTGAACCCGGGAGGCGAAGGTCGTGGTAAGCCAAGATCGCACCATTGCACTACAGCCTGGGCAACAAGAGTGAAACTCCATCGTGAAAAAAAAATAATAAATAAATAAACGTGTATGCTTTTCTTTTGTTAATCTTTCTTTTGTTACAGGGGCCCCAGCCACAAACTCAAAATGGAAGAAGGAAGAGATTTTTTTCTGCCCCACAGTGCTCCCTGCATTGTCACTACTTCCTGGCAGAATCCCCTGTTCTTCACACCCAAGGTCGAGTTATGGAGGTCTTTGCTATGCTGAGGAGTTAGGACTGTATTCATAAATAAGGTAGTTTTCAAACTGCAGTCGCAAGACTATCAGCATCAGTGTATCACTATGGGGCGGGAAAGTAAGAAATGAAGTTCTTGGCCCCCACCCTCAGTCTACCTAATCATAAAATCTAGGGATGGCCCTCAGAAATCTGTTTTAATGAGCCTGCCAGATGATTATAATGCACTTTTTTTTTTTTTTTGAGAGAGAGAGAGAGTCTTGCTCTGTCACCCAGGCTGGAGTACAATAGCACAATCTCAGTTCACTGCAACCTCTGCCTCCCAAGTTCAAGCGATTCTCTTGCTTCAGCCTCCCAAGTAGCTGGGATTACAGGCACATGCCTCTATGCTCTGATAATTTTTGTATTTTTAGTAGAGACAGGATTTCACCATGTTGGCCAGGCTGGTCTTGAACTCCTGACATCAGGTGATCCACCCTCATCGGCCTCCCAAAGTGCTGGGATTAGAGGCAGGTGCCACCACACTCAGCCTAATGCACATAAATCTGATAACCACTAATGAAATGTAAAGGTAGTGAATGGTGATTTAAAACAAAACAATGAAGGGAAGGCACAGTGGCTCACGCCTGTCCACATTCCCTGGAGCTCCTCACTGTGGCACACCCTGGGAGGGCTTAAACATCTCCGGAGTTGTGGGTCAGGGCTGCCTGAGAAGGGAGAGACCAACTGATGAGGATCTGCAGGGCTCATACAGAAACTAAACCAGTTTTATTGTGATTCGATGTAGAACTTGATAAGGGGAGAGAAGAGAACCCACGAGTGCAAAGGCTATTGTACTAATCCAGGAGAGCTGTATTAGTCAGGGCTCTCCAGATAAACAGAACCAGTGGGACAGGATACATATAAAGAGAAAGAGGAAGAAATTGAGTAAGAAATAATTAGATCGTGTGATTATGAAGGCTGAGAAGCCCCACTATCTGCCATCTGCAAGCTAGAGAGCCAGGAAAGCCAGTGGTATAAATTCCAGTCCAAGCCCAAAGGCCTGAGAACCAGGGGTGCCACTGGGGTAAATCCCAACTTAAGGGCAGAAGACAACTGATGTCCCGGCTCAATCAGGCAGTAGGCAGGAAGCAAAAAGGAAGAAATTCCTCCTTCCTCTGCCTTTTTCCAATCTCAGGATGGATTGGATGATACCTACCCACACTGGGGAGGGCCATCTACTGTACTTAATCCACCAATTTAAGTGCCAATCTCATCCAGAAACTCCCTCACAAACTCAGAAACGATGTTTAACCTGGGCACTCCTTGGCCCAGTCCAGTTGAAGCATAGAATTAACTATCACAAGAGTGATGGTTAAATTCTTCGGAATTATGCAGCATTGATGGGCACTGATGGAAAGGAATGATTCTATTTCTGAGGAAGAATGAAGAAGACATGACCAACTTCATAAAAAGTAAGAAAAACAGAGAAACCAAGGTTGACTCCAAGTCTAACTTCGGTAAGTACAGTAGACCGATTGCATTAATGGCCTCAATTAAATGGGTTCCAGTATGTATACCCTTTAACCTATTATATAATTCTATTTAGTCTTCCCCGACTCTGACTCTGTGCTGGGCAATGTGGTATGTTTTGGCCAGTGTGACACTGGCAAACTTGAAGAAAGCAGCAACTTGAAAAAGTTCTTGAGTCTTTCCAATCTCTTTTAGTTTTCTATGATCACCATGAGCATATTCCACAAGATTGCTTGAAAAAATGCCCAGGCTAGCCTGCTGGAGGGACATGACAAACATATGCATGTACGAGACATATGAAGAAGAAACCAGTTATCCAACCAAGTTCAACTTAACCCAGTCTATAGCCAGCTGTCCCCTAACATGTGAAAGCCCAGTCACGTTCAGCGGAGCCATGTAACCTCATAATGCATAAGTGAAACCAGCTGTCAGTCATAATAAATGATTATTATTATTTTAAGCCAATGAACTTTGGGGGTGATTTGTTAGGCAGTATTATTGTAGCAATAGATAACTGAAATAATAAGAACCCAAATGGTTCTCTTTTGATATACTTTTTGAACAAAGGCAGGTCATGTACATAAAGAAAGATTAGCTCAGGTCCAAACCTTTTGAGATAATTACAAGACAGCTGGGTATAAATATCCATAAGTCAGATGGAAATGTAAGTCTGGAATTCAAATAAAATTTTTGGCTGGCAACATAAATTTGAGTCATCAGCATAAACTGATCTCTGAGAACACAAAGAATGAGTTTTTTGTTTGTTTGTTTGTTTGTTTTGTCAAGAGCAAAACAAGGAACTTTGGGAAACACCATTTAAAGAGTAAGTAGAAAAACAGGTATTCTCTCCTGCTACAGGAGAAAATAAAATTACAACATATAATGAAAAAGCCGGGTGCGGTGGCTCATGCCTGTAGTCCTACCATTTTGGGAGGCCTCGGTGGGCGGATTGCTTGAGCCCAGAAGTGTGAGATCAGCCTGGGCAACATGGTGAAACTCCATCGCTACAAAAAATACAAAAATTAACTGGGCATGGTGGCATGAGCCTGTAGTCCCAGCTACTTGGGAGGCTGAGATGGGAAGATCTCTTGAGCCCAGGAGACAGAGGTTGTAGTGAGCCAAGATAGTGCCACTGCACTCCAGCCTGGGTGACAGAGTGAGACCTTATCTCAAAAAAATGAAAAAGACAATTCCAAGAAAGAAAGCATGAACAATAGTACCAAATGCTTCTGAGTTCAGTTGGGATGAGGACTGAAATGTATTTGACTATTGATTATGGAGTAATATCAATGTAAACATAAAGGACAATATATAAAGTGAAACACCCCCTCATGCCCACATGACCTTTCCTGTTAAACAACAGCCACTCAACAAATCTTGCATATCAACTTCGTCTTCCTATATTTCTTCTTCTTTTCCCTCTCCCTGTCTCCTTCTCCCTTTGTTTTCTCCTTCACCTGCCTTTCTAGCCATACTCTCTTCTTCCTCTGATTTTTTCCAGTAAAAGGCAGAGGGAGGTATTTCAGACTTGGGAGAGGATGAGAGAGATGGGAAAAGGTATCTCTGTAACAAGAATATTTGATTGCCTGAATCAGAAATCCCAGCCTTTTTGAGGCAATTAAGTCCTTTTTAAGTTAAAAAATGAGTTTCTCTTGGTATCTGCTAAATAACAGTGGCCAAAAATACTATTAATAGACATTTAATTTTTAACAACAGCAGCTACATACTCATAACATATATTCAGAGAGATAACATTGTCTATAAATATTATTTCCTGCTGCCCATTCACTTTCCCCATAGGCAAAGCCTAGCGGGCCTAGGGTACTGTCTGCACCATGTTTTATTATTTATTTATTTATTTATTTATTTATTTATTGAGACAGGGTCTCGCTCTGACACCCAGTGCCAGGCTGGAGTGCAGTGACACAATCTCAGCTCACTGCAACCTTGATCTCCTGCATTCAAGCGATTCTCCTGCTTCAGCCTCCCGAGTAGCTGGGACTACAGACACATGCCACCACACCCGGCTAATGTTTGTATTTTTAGTAGAGACGGGGTTTCACCATGTTGCCCAGGCTGGTCTCGAACTCCTGACCTCAAGTGATTTGCCCACCTCAGCCTCCCAAAGTTCTAGGATTACAAGCGTGAGCCACCGCGACTGGCAGAACATACTGTCTGCCCCTCATTTTAGAAGTCAGATTAAATTTAGCATTTTGATACATACTATCTTGAATTGCTCTGCAATTATTTTACTAGGAATTTGATAACAAAAGTAGGCCTTAAGAAATACCTGTGGAATTTAATTAAAGGATTCAGTTTTGTTTGGAATATCCCTTAGTTTCTAGTTTTGTGGTAAGAAAGAGATGATGCTTTACATCATAAGATATTCAAAATATATGAGCAATACTGTAAAATTACATTAAAATTACATTGCATAATTATACTTTTAAAATCTGTGCCTAGCACAGGTGACAGTGACTGAATGGATACTTTTGTGATATTTTGTAGAGTGATGGTTTGTACAGTGGAAATGTGTGTGGTTTGTTTCCTGCTCAGCATCCATTCCCTCTTCTGATAAAGGCATCTGGATCAGGTGGGCTAACTCAATTCCTGTCTTGGGTGAGGGAAAAGACACAATCCAGCCTGACCCACCAATGTACCCCATCTCATCAGGGCACAATGATTGGTTTAGAGACGCACAGATGTTGCAAATAACTCCGGTAAGATTAAAGTATGGGTTTAAACTGTTGAGTAAAGAGAATTATCTTTTCTGCTGGGCTTGAGGGTAGAGGGATATAAGCCTTGAGCTGCTGGGCGCCACCTTGAGGAGAAAGCCTTTCAGAAAGTGAAGTCAATACCCAGAGTAGAAAGTCAAAAAATTAAAGGAGATTAAGTATAGATAATACCACTTGACCCTCAGGATCCAGCAATTTCTGAAGGCAGATACCCCTGGACTTTTCAATTACATAATCCAGTATAAGCTGAATTTTTCTCACTTGTAATTAAAGGATTTCTAACAAAATAGTTAACTTTTGTGAATTTTTTTTTCTGGCAAAATAGTCTGCTTTACAAAAGTCAAATTTCAAAATGCATTCATTTATGCAACAAATTTTTTTTTTTTTTGAGACAGAGTCTTGCTCTGTGGCCAGGCTGGAGTGCAGTGGTGCGATCTCGGCTCACTGCAACCTCCGCCTCCCAGGTTCAAGCCTCAGCCTCCCAAGTAGCTGGGACTACAGGCGTGCACCACCACGCCCGGCTAATTTTTGTATTTTTAATAGAGATGGGGTTTCACCATATTGGCCAGGCTGGTCTCGAACTCCTGACCTCGGATCTGCCCACCTCAGCCTCCCAAAGTGCTGGAATTACAGGCATGAACCACTGTGCCCAGCTGCAACAAATATTTATTAAGCATCTACTACGTGCTGGTGTATCACATTGTGTCAGTCATGCTGAGAGTAAGTTAACTAGGATCGACTACATAGTGTTCCCAACCTAGGCACTATTAGCATTTTAGGTAAGATAATTCTTAGTTGTTGAGGATGATTCCAAGTGTGGCCTCTGGTCAATATATGCCAGTACAGCCCCCAGTCACTGTCACTGTGACAAACGAAAAATGTCACAAATTTTCAGAAGTTCCTCTAGGTGGCAGTACTATGCTGATGTAGAACAGTGAAGTTGGGGGAAAGACAGACCCTGACAACACAGAGTTAGGAATTTTAGAGCTCTCAGACATATACTATCTAAAAGACATGTCAGAAGTCCTGAACGGAAAAAAAAAAAAAAGCGGGGGAGGGGGGAGTTGTTCCAGAACACAGTGGTATGTAGTATTATAAGGTAAAAGGCAAGCAAGGGTTTTAATGAACTTAGAAGAGCTAAGTGAGTAGAAAGAAATCTTATAAAATATCACATGATTAAGGACAAACAAACAGAATGCTTGAGGCCACCTATAGCCAGAAGTGAGCTAAAACAAGCTAACAGTGAAATAGAGCTTTGATCCTACAAATTCAAAAGGGGACGTTCTGCAGGCAATTGGTTCTCCCTCTCAACAAGGCAAGGTCAAGGAAAGGTCATAAAAAAAGGGATGAGGAAGAGAACTGTTCAGATTAAAGAGGCCTAAGCAAACAACCAAAAGCAATGTGTGGACTTTACTTATATCCTGATTTGAACAATTTAGCTGTAAAGACATTCTAGGGACAATTGCGGATGTTTAAACACAGACTAGATCTTAGATGATATTAAGAAATTGTCACTTTTCTTTGATGTAGTTACATAGAAAAATGTTCATGTTTTTTGAGAGGTATATTCAGCATGAACAATTATGTCAAGCTGCTTAATATCTCAGTACCTCAATTTCATCAGTAGAGATAACAATTACTTCATACATTGTTGAGAAGATTGAGTTAATATTTATAAAGTGCTTAAAAGAATACCTAGCATTGCCGGGCACGGTGGCTCACGCCTGTAATCCCAGCACTTTGGGAGGCCAAGGTGGGTGGATCACCTGAGGTCAGGAGTTCAAGACCAGCCTGACCAACATGGAGAAACTCCGTCTCTACTAAAAATACAAAATTAGCCAGGGTGGTGGCACATGCCTGTAATCCCAGCTACTCGGGAGGCTGAGGCAGGAGAATCGCTTGAACCCCGGAGGTGGAGGTTGTGGTGAGCTGAGATCGTACCATTGCACTCCAGCCTGGGCAAAAAGAATGAAACTCCGTCTCAAAAAAAAAAAAAAAAAGATAACTTTTCAAGGAGACCAGTTACAAAATACAAAGGAAAGGCAATAAATAATACAAAGAAATTGGACCAGGTACGGTGGCTCACACCTGTAATCCCAGCACTTTGGGAGGCCGAGGCCGAGGTGGGTAGATCACCTGAGGTCAGAAGTTCAAGACCAGCCTGGTCAACATGGTGAAACCCCATCTCTACTAAATATACAAAAATTAGCCAGGCTTGGTGGCGGGCACCTATAATCCCAGCTACTTGGGAGGCTGAGGCAGGAGAATCATTTGAACCCAGGAGGCAGAGGTTGCAATGAGCCGAGATCGGGCCATTGCGTTCCAGCCTGGACAACAAGAACGAAACTTCTTCTCAAAAAAAAAATACAGAGAGCATCAGAACAGAAAGATAGATTAGCGAATAGAAAAGAGATCAATGGGACGAAAAAATGGTGGAAGGAAAAATAATCATGAAAGCCAGAGGGGGCCGGGCGCAGTGGCTCATGCCTATAATCTCAACACTTTAGGAGGCCGATGCAGGCGGATCACAAGGTCAGGAGTTCAAGACCAGCCTGGCCAAGATGGTGAAACCCCGTCTCTACTAAAAATACAAAAAAATTAGCCTGGCATGGTGGCGGGCCCCTGCAATCCCAGCTACTAAGGAGGCTGAGGCAGAGAATTGCTTGAACCAGGGAGGCGGAGGTTGCAGTGAGCCAAGATGGCACCACTGCACTCCAGCCTGGACGACAGAGCCAGACTCCCTCTCAAAACAAAAAGCCAGAAAGAACATATGTGGGAATTATGTTAAACTTTAAGTGTGAGAGAGATGTGAGTGAGAGATCCAAGGAGAGATATAGGACAACCAGGAGGTACCATTCCCCAAATAAGCCAATGAAAATGCTACATATGGTCGGGCACGGTAGCTCACGCCTGTAATCCCAGCACTTTGGGAGGCCGAGGCGGGCGGATCACGAGGTCAGGAGATCAAGACCACAGTGAAACCCCGTCTCTACTAAAAATACAAAAAAATTAGTCGGGCCCCGTGGCGGGCGCCTGTAGTCCCAGCTACTACAGAGGTTGAGGCAGGAGAATGGCTGAACCCGGGAGGTGGAGCTTGCAGTGAGCCGAGATCGCCCCACTGCACTCCAGCCTGGGCAACAGAGCGAGACTCCGACTAGGGGAAAAGAAAAAAAAAAGGCCAGGCGCTGTGGCTCACGCTTATAATCCCAGCACTTTGGGAGGCCGAGGCAGGCAGATCACGAGGTCAGGAGATCGAGACCATCCTGGCTAACACGGTGAAACCCCGTATCTACTAAAAGAAATACAAAAAAATTATCCGGCCGTGGTGGCGGGCACCTGTAGTCCCAGCTACTCTGGAGGCTGAGGCAGGAGAATGGCGTAAACCCGGGAGACGGAGCTTGCAGTGAGCGGAGATCGCCCACTGCACTCCAGCCTGGGCGACAGAGCGAGACTCCGTCTCAAATACAAAAAAAAAAAAAAATTAGCCAGGTGTGGTGGCTAATGCCTGTAGTCCCAGCTACTCAGGAGGCTGGGGTGAGTGAATCACCTGAGCCTGGGGGCGTCAAGGCTGTGGTGAGCCCACCGCGCCCAGCCCCCACTCTTATTTCTTAAATGATTATTCATCACATGTTCCAACAATGCTTCTAGGAGTTATTACTTTACACTGATCCAAATTAGCACTTTCTTCCCATCATTTACAATTTAATTTTCTCCCAGTGAAACGTTGAATTTAGAATTAAACTATATCATTTTCAAAACGTAAGGTTTTAACAGTAAATTATTGCCACTAGAGGGCACCAGAAGCTCAGAAGCATAAACATAAAAATAGTTTTCACGAACCACATTTAAGTATTAAAAACAAAATACAGTGCAAGTTATAGTGTCAAAAATATTTCGAAGCCGGGCGCAGTGGCTCACGCCCATAATCCCAGCACTTTGGGAGGCCAAGGCGGGTGGATCACCTGAGGTCAGGAGTTCCAGACCAGCCTGGCCAACGTGGTGAAACCCACTCTCTACCAAAAATACAAAAATTAGCCGGGCATGGTGGCGCAGGCCTGTAGTCCCAGCTATTCTGGAAGCTGAAGCACGAGAATCGCTTGAACCCGGGAGGCAGAGGTTGCAGTGAGCCGAAATCGCACCACTGCACTCCAGCCTACGTGACAGTGAGACTCTGTCTAAAATAACAACAACAACAACAAAATTAGAAAAGCATTCACATGCCTTTACTTTTTTTGATTAATATTTTAAACTGATTTTTAAACATTGTCACTAAATGTTTCAAACTCTTGAAAAAGTAAAAAAATCAATAGGATCATATTATAAAGCTTTGTTGCAATTTTAAAATAGAGGTTACTGATTCACCAAATTACCTTGCTTTATTAAGAGTAGACATTTGAACTTACTAATTTTTCCTTTATCTAACATGTTTCCTTGAATTTATTTATGTTCCAATGATTTATTTAATCCAATATTAAGAAAACATTTGTTTTAACTTGAGTAATCAATTGAAATTCAAATAAATAGCCCTTTGAGTTCTGAGCTTTCAATATGGCAAACCACCGATTGACTGGGGCATCTTAGACAAAGTCACATCTAAAATGTTGGAACTCTCTGCACCTTGGTAATTTACCTGAAATGTCTGTTCCCCATGCCCAGCAAATTCAAGACTCAACTCAGATGTTGGTATGGCTTTCTCTAGCACGACATCACCTGCAGAAAAGTTAATTATTCCTTCCTCTGTGCTTCTCTGTATTCCTACAACACTTGGTGTAGCCAATGCAGTTAGATGAAATCAATATTTCTTAAGAACGTACTATGTTATTCAGAACCTACCGGAGGCTCAGTTCCTTCTTTCAAGGAGTTTATAGGAGAATAGAGTGACATGAGGAAAAAAGGCAATTGCATGAAAAAATATGGTATTTTTCATGCAACAGTATGAGTATGGTAAGTGAAGAAGTATAGTAGAGGAAGATGACAAGCATTTTGTAGGCATTTATTATTGAAAGAAATATTTCCAAGCACTGTCTTTGCACTTAACTTCGAAGAGAACTTTATTTTTATTTTATTTTTATTTATTTATTTATTTTTGAGACGGAGTCTCACTGTGTTGCCCAGGCTGGAGTGCAGTGGCGTGATCTGGGCTCACTGCAACCTCCGCCTCCCTGGTTCAAGCGACTCTCCTGCCTCAGCTTCCTGAACAGCTGGGACTGCAGGCGCGTGCCACCACATCAAGCTAATTTTTTGTATTTTTAGTAGAGACGGGGTTTCACCGTGTTAGCCAGGATGGTCTCGATCTCCTAACCTCGTGATCCACCCGCCTCGGCCTCCCAAAGTGCTGGGATTACAGGCATGAGCCACGGTGCCAGGCGAGAACTTTATTTTTATTTATTGAGCACCAACTCAGAACACTGTTTAAGACACCATAGAAAGGCTTACAAAAGAAATAAATGGCACAGTTTCTAATTCAAGATATTTCAAGCATACTGGGTAAGTAAAATATGTATGCCCAAAATTTCAGGACATTATAAAAACAACATACATTCAAATGTAATTCATTTACTATAAAAATGCACGTGTTTACTTTATAAAGAAGGAACGCATGGCCGGGTGCGGTGGTTCATGCCTGTAATCTCAGCACTTTGGGAGGCCGAGGCGGGCGGATCATGTGGGCAGGAGTTCAAGACCAGCCTGGTCAACATGGTGAAACCCTGTCTCTACTAATAAAATACAAAAATTAGCTGGGCATGGTGGCGTACACCTGTAATTCCAGCTACTCGGGAGGCTGAAGCAGGAGAATTGCTTGAACCTGGGAGGTGGAGGTTGCAGTGAGCCGAGATCGCACCACTGGACTCCAGCCTGGGTGACAGAGCAAGACTCCATCTCAAAAAAAAAAAAAAAAGAAGAAGAAGAAATACATAATAAAACCACTTAACGGACTTTTGATTTAATATATCGAAAAATAAGAAATCCCATTAAGTCTCCAGGAAAGAGCCCACCTTTAAGAATATGGAATTTGGGGCGAGGGATAGCATTAGGAGATATACCTAATGCTAAATGACGAGTTAATGGGTGCAGCACACCAACATGGCACATGTATACATATGTAACAAACCTGCACGTTGTGCACATGTACCCTAAAACTTAAAGTATAATAATAATAAAATTAAAAAATAGAAAAAAAAAGAATACAATGAAGAAAAAAAAAAGAATATGGAATTTGAGGCTGGGCACGGGGGCTCACGCCTGTAATTCCAACACTTTGGGAGGCCAAGGCGGGCGGATCACAAGGTCAGGAGATCGAGACCATCCTCGCTAACACGGTGAAACCCTGTCTTTACTAAAAATACAAAAAAATTAGCCGGGCGTGGTAGCAGGCGCCTGTAGTCCCAGCTACTCTGGAGGCTGAGGCAGGAAAATGGCGGGAACCCGAGAGGCGGAGCTTGCAGTGAGCCGATATCGCGCCACTGAACTCCAGCCCGGACAACAGAGCGAGACTCCGTCTCAAAAAAAAAAAAAAAAGAATATGGAATTTGAAAAATATTTTTCTCCCAACTCTATACAGAATGGAACGTAACTGGGGTGGGCAGGTGGGTGGGGGTGAAACCAAACAGTCAACCATTGATTTATGGCCTTGAAAGTAGTAGTCAAGGAGCCTGGGGTAGGGGGTAACTATAATCTTGCCAAAGTTACTCAACCACATTAGATCTCAGTTTCTACATCTATAAAATGAGAAGCTCATATTAAGTGGTTTCTAAGGATCCTTCCAGCCCTACTATGCTGTGATTTTTACAGTGTCAGCTACTGAAATTAAGTGGTTGAATTTAAAAGACATTACAGCTATGGAATCAGTTGGAACTTGGTGATGAATTAATAGCAGATGATGAAGGAAAGAGAAAAATATATATATATGAACGTAGAAGCACTTTGAAAAGTACAAAGTCCTCTACAATGTATACAGCCATAATAATCATTATTAATCAAATATGTCCAAGTCTAGAGGACTGGAGAATGCTGGAATGATGCTACTGAAGCAAATCAAAATCAGAAAATGGGAGGGTAAAAGAGAAAATGGCTTGCTTTTCACATGCTGATTTACTCACCCCCCTACCTCTCAACACTATTGAGATGGAATTTACCACCAAGGAACAGAGCAAAGAGGATGCTTATTTTCATGCAACTTCTGTCTTTATTCTTATAGTCTGAAAACACTTCCTAGGAAGGTAAAGAAAATAGCTATTCAAATGTGGTAATTAGAAAGATTTGGGCCCAGCGTGGTAGCTCACGCTTGTAATCCCAGTGCTTTCAGAGGGTGAGGCAGGAGGATCGCTTGAAGCCAGGAGTTTGAGACCAGCCTGAGCAATGAAGCGACACCTTCTCTCTACAAAAAATAAAATAATTTTTTTTTATTTACAGGCACAGTGGTGTGTGCCTGTAGTCCCAGCTACTCAGGAGGCTGAGGCAGAAGAATCACTTGAGCCCAGGAGTTTGAAGCTGCAGTGACCTATGATCACGCCCCTGCACTCTAAACTGGGTGACAGAGCGAGACCCTGTCTCTTAAAAAAAAGCTATCTTGTAAAGACTGCTCTGATAGTAGACCTAATCCATAGTATTTTTTAAATGAAAATCAAAAATAGAAAAACTAGGGAGAAATAACATTTAATCAGAGAGTAAAATATATTTAGGTTTGCATTTCAAGTATAAAAAGGACCATAGGAAGATAGGTCACCTATAAAGGTCCTAAAAGGTTTCTGCACTAGATAACTATGTTGCTATGTGATTCGAAATTCTCCCTAGAATCACCATCATGGGCACAAGGTTCCTCATCCCCAAAGTGGCCACTGCACACATCCACAAGTTCACTAACTGGGGCAAGGAAAAAAAGAATTAGCCAGTATTCCTATTAGCAGAGTTTGATGGAAAGGGGCAAATCCGTGGCGTCGTTACTACAGTATTTGGCAAAGGGTTTTGAGAAGATTGATTAGAAAGCATTTTGTGCCAGGCGCAGTGGCTCACACCTGTAATCCCAACAGCTTGGGAGGCTGAGGTGGGCAGATCACGTGAGGTCAGAAGTTCAAGACCAGGCTGGCCAACACAGTGAAACCCCGTCTCTACTAAAAATACAAAAATTAGCCGGGCCTGGTGGCGCCTGCTCGCCTGTAATCCCAACTACTCAGGAGGCTGAGGCAGGAGAATCGCTTGAACCTGGGAGGCGGAGGTTGCAGTGAGCCGAAATTGAGCCGCTGCACTCCAGCCTGGGCGACAGAGTGAGACTCTATCTCAAAAAATAAATAAATAAAAATAGACAGCATTTCCTGATTGATAAGAGAATAGCTATGCTCATCTACTCCTGCTGAAAGATTATGCAGCGTATTATGAAGTACTTAATAAAAATTAAATGAATAAATTTTACAATTGACTATAAATCGGAAAAATAATTCCATTTTTCTAATTTAATGTTAGAATGTGTATGTGACTCAGAAAAATACACCTAAAAAAAAAATCCATCTTGGCCGGACGCGGTGGCTCATGCTTGTAATCCCAGCACTCGGAGGCCGAGGCGGGCGGATCACCTGAGGTCGGGACCTGAGTGACCAACATGGAAAAACCCTGGCTCTATTAAAAAAAAAAAATACAAAATTAGCCGGGTGTGATGGCACATGCCTGTAATCCCATCTACTGGGAAGGCTGAGGCAGGAGAATCGCTTGAACCCGAGAAGTGGAGGTTGCAGTGAGCCAGGACGGCGCCGTTGCAGTGGGCCAGGACGGCGCCATTGCACGCCAGCCTGAGAAACGAGCGAGACTCCGTCTCAAAAAAAAAAAAATCCATCTTTAGAAGGATTACAACCCAAAATTAAGAAGGCTTTTACATTTTTCTCCTTTACGTATAGCGCTTCTCAATCCACAGCCTTTCTTTATTCCTGTTTTATAATGATATGACTACAAACACAAAAGATTCACCCTAAAATCCAGCAAAGTGAAGAGAAGTATAAGATATTCATGAGTCAAAAGCTTCATGATTTCAATTTACAAGAACTCATAATCCATAAACCATGGATTACCTATTAAATAAATGATAAACTGTCCAAAAGTTAACTACTTTAATTCTCTATGCTTCTAATTCCTCATCTATAAAACAGGAGATTATATTAGCTCTCACCTCACAGGATTCTTATGAGATCAAATAAATTAATGTGTGTAAAATACCTGCAAATGTGCCTAGCACGTGGTGATTCATCAATGTAGACTTTTGTTAATACTGTTTGACAGTTACTGATGAGAAAAGTCACTGCTGTCAGCCGGACACAGTGGCTCACGCCTGTAATCCCAACACTTTGGGAGGCGGGTGGATCACCTGAGTTCAGGAGTTCGAGACCAGCCTGGCCAACATGGTGAAACCCCGTCTCTACTAAAAATACAAAAAAAGAAAATTAGCCGGGCTTGGTGGCGGGCGTCTGTAATCCCAGCTACTCGAGAGGCAGAGGCAGGAGACTCACTCAAACCCGGGAAGCGGAGGTTGCAGTGAGCCGAGATTGCGCCATTGCACTCCAGCCTGGGTGACAAGAGCAAAACTCCGTATCAAAAAAAAAAAAAAAAAGAAAAGAAAAGTCACTGCTGTCATTGAGAGAAATGATATAATTTGGGAATTACAGGGTGATGTAAGAACAATTTTTTTTAAGTGATGGCACTCATGAGTTCTAGGAAAATTTCCTAAGATCTAACTTTCCTTTTTCTTTTGAGATGGAGTCTCGTTCTGTCATCCAGGCTGGATTGCAATGCCGCAATCTCAACTCACTGCAACCTCTGCCTCCCGGGTTCAAGCGATTCTCTTGCCTCAGCCTCCTGAGTAGCTGGGATTACAGATGCCCACCACCATGTAGGGCTAATTTTTGTATTTTTAGTAGAGATGGGGTTGTACTATGTTGGCCAGGCTGGTCTCGAACTCCTGACCTCAGGGGATCCACCCGCCTTGGCCTCCCAAAGTGTTGGGATCACACGCATGAGCCACAAGATCTAATTTTTCAATATTTTTCCAGCCGAGCTCAAAAAATCTCTTACTCGAGTGTTCATAATCATAAAGCTTTCATAGTTCCTCAGCTTCCATCACAGATAACTCCCTATGTACATAACCAATTCTCCCAAGTAACATGTGGATTATTAATTTGCTTTAGCAAGTACTTGGATACCAGATAAACATTACTATTCTAGACATTGGAAAGACACAATCCCACCACTAATAAATTGATTGCCATTTTGGGTTATAAAGCAGTATCTTATAAATTATAGAGAATCTATTCTCCCAAAGCCTGATTAGTTAGTTCTACGTGAATTGATAACCAAATTATTTCCGAACCAACAATACTGAACTGGTGAAATCATAAACCCCAGCTAGATTTTGTATCCTATAATGCTCAACCTGAGAGAGCCAAGTGCTCTGGACAGCAGAGTGAGACTCTGTCTTTTTTTTTTTTTGAGACAGAGTCTCACTCTGTCACCCAGGCTGAAGTGCAGTGGTGTGATCTCGGCTCACTGCAAACTCCGCCTCCCGGGTTCACACCATTCTCCTGCCTCAGCTCCCCAGTAGCTGGGACTACAGGCACCCGCCACCACACCCGGCTAATTTTTTGTATTTTTAGTAGAGATGGGGTTTCACCGTGTTAGCCAGGACGGTCTCAATCTCCTGACCTCGTGATCTGCCCACCTCAGCCTCCCAAAGTGCTGGGATTACAGGTGTGAGCCACTGCGCCCGGCCAATGACTGTGTCTTAATAATAATAATAATAATAATAATAAGGGTAGTCCAAGTGCAGTGGTATTTATGACAAATTGATTATAACCAGTTACAGATTTCTTTGTTCCTTCTCCACTCCCACTGCTTCACTTGACTTGCTTAAGGAAAAAAAAAAAGAAAACATTTATATTATTATTGGCATGATACATGTCAGGCCTCTGAGCCCAAGCTAAGCCATCATATCCCCAGTGACCTGCACGTATACATCCAGATGGCCTGAAGCAACTGAAGATCCACAAAAGAAGTGAAAATAGCCTTAACTGATGACATTCCACCATTGTAATTTGTTTCTGCCCCACCCTGATAAATGTACTTTGTAATCTCCCCCACCCTTAAGAAGTTTCTTTATAATTCTCCCCACCCTTGAGAATGTACTTTGTGAGATCCACCCCTGCCCGCAAAACGTTACTCCAAACTCTACCGCCTATCCCAAAACCTGTAAGAACTAATGATAATCCCACCACCCTTTGCTGACTCCTTTTTCGGACTCAGCCTGCCTGCACCCAGGTGAAATAAACAGCCTTGTTGCTCACACAAAGCCTGTTTGGTGGTCTCTTCACATGGACATGTGAGACAATACAGAGCCAACTAACAATAGTTCCATGAAGCCCTTACCAGTTAACTAATTCATTGGAAAGGTCATAATTCAGTCTTTAAAAACGTGTGTGGCAGGACAGTGAAACAAGTTAAACAACACAAGGAAGCAATGAGACATATCCAGAATGTGAAACTTGACACAGGACAATCCAGTTTCTTTAATAAATTAATGATGGGGCCCAGGGGATTGGAGGGGGGCAGGATTGAGGTGCGGAAGCAGGGCAGGAAGTCATTCTTGCCACAAGGCATATACAGTGGTCCACTATCAGACTTTAAACCCTGGCAAGATAAATATTAGCTACTTCTAAGATGATATGCCTTCAAGTCTTCATCTGGGATTTTCCCAACTGGTAGATTATTAGGATATAAGAGTTTGAGGTAAAAAAAGTAAAAAAATCTTCATCTTTCTCCCTCCTCCAGTGTCTCTATTTCTAGGGGTGACCACCGTTACTAGGTTAGATGTGTTCTTCCAATATTTCATCTCCTCAAATCTCTACTCTTGTCTTTACATGAACCCCTCACTCTCCCTTCTACTGCCTCACTTTCTAGTAAGTTTTCTTGGGCAACTTTAGAGCAGGGATTATAAACTTAATATATACTGTGGCCTGGAGATGGGGGAACAGGGACCTTAAATTGAGTTTGCAGGTGGCAGCCACATGAGAGTGCTCTAGCCAATGGCTGCCTGAGGGAAAGCAGGCTCAGTGGGCCCTGTTTTTTGGAGATAAGCTAAAAATCTGTACTTTAATATGAAGACTTTTAGCCCCTGGAACTCATTAAAAGTTTTTAACATAATACACGCCCCCCCAAAAAAAAAAACTCATAACAATACAAACAACAAAAACAACGAGGACCCAACTCAGCTCACAAGCTAACAGTTTGCTACCTCTGCTTTTGATTTATAAGAAACTTCAGATCAACCATAGGATGTTAGAACTGGAAAGGATGTTAGAAATCATCCGGTGCAAATATTTTATTTTATGGCAAAAGGAAACCGGGGCCCAGAAAGGGGCTTTGGCTTCAGTGCAGGTGAACCAACGTTAACTAGGGACTAATTACTATGCCAGGCAGAGGACATGCCACAGTAATTGTCCTGTCCTCAAGCTGTTCACAGTCTAGTGGAAGAGAGAACCTGTGAACAACTGGAAAGCTGTTTTATATATCCCCATGCAATTTTATATATATATATATATATATATATATATATATATATACTTTTTTTTTTTTTGAGACAGAGTCTCACTCTGTGGCCCAGGCTGGAGTGCAGTGGCGTAATCTCGGCTCACTGCAACCTCTGCCTCCCGGGTTCAAGTGATTATCGTGCCTCAGCCTCCCAAGTAGCTGGGATTACAGGCATGTGCCACCACGCCTGGCTAATTTTTGTATTTGTAGTAGAGACAGGGTTTCACCATGTTGGCCAGGCTGGTCTCAAACTCCTGACCTCAAGTGATCCACCCTCCTTGGCCTCCCAAAGTGCTGGGATTACAGGGATGAGCCACAATGCCCAGCCAGTTATTTCCTGATTATATGCTAAACAAGGGGTGAGTTATTCATGCCTCCCCTTTTAGACAACATAGGGTAACTTCCTGACATTGCCATGGCATTTGTAAACTGTCATGGTCCTGGTGGGAGTGTAGCAGTGAGGGTAACCAGAGGTCACTCTCATGGCCATCTTGGTTTTGGTGGGTTTTGGCTGGCTTCTTCACTACAACCTGCTTTATCAGCACGGTCTTTATGACCCGTATCTTGTGCCAATATCCTATTTCACCCTGTGACTAGGAATGCCTTAACCTTCTGGGAATGCAGCCCAGCAGGTCTCAGCTTCATTTTATGCAGCGCCTGTTCAAGATGGAGTTGCTCTGGTTCAAATGCCTCTGACAATACCATGTAGCCTGGGTGTGTAGTAGGCTCTAACATCTAGGTTTGTGTAGGTACACTCTATGGTGTCTGCACAATTATGAAATTGCTAATGATGCATTTCTCAGAATGTATTCCTATTGTTAAGTGACACATGGCTGTATATGTATCCAGCTATCTAGTCCGCTCAACTGTAATATCTATGGGTTTGGAGATTTCTCCAAAACTCTTTCTACCACTTGCCTGCACATTTATTCCATATCAGCAGATGAAGCAAGACTCATTCTTCGAGTCCGGGAGAAGCACCTTGGTGAGGCTTTGGGAGGCACCAATGTGCTCTCTGAAGGAAATGGCCTGAGGCTCGAGGAAAATAATATGGGATGGAGACCTGGGAAGAGGGAGAGACCAGACTTATTGTCAGGTTCCTGAACAGCATATTCGTGAAATGAAGGGCAGTGGTCATAGAGACAGCATAGCCAGGAGGTGTTGCTTAGAAGAGTGGGAGGCCAGCGCAAAGGTTCACACTTGTAGTCCCAGCACTTTGGGAGCCTGAGGTGGGAGGATCACCTGAGCCCAGGAGTTCAAGACCAGCCTGGGCAGCATGATGAAATCTCTTCTCTACAAAAAATACAAAAATTAGCCAGGTATCGTGGCGCATGCCTGTAGTCTTAGCTACTCAGGAGGCTGAGACAGGAGGATCATTTGAACCTACAAGTTGGAGGCTGCAGCGATTTCCACTGCACTGCAGCTGGGGCAACTGAGAGAGACTCTCAAACAAACAAAGAGGTGGGGAGAGAAGAGCAAGGTGCAGTGGTTCAGGCCTGTGATCCCAGCACTTTAGGAGACAGAAGTGGGAAGACTGCTTGAGCCCAGCCTGGGCAACATCAACAGATCCCTGTCTCAAAAAAAGTTAAAAAAAAAAAAAATTAGCCAGGCCTGGTGGCATGTGTCTGTAGACACAGTTACTAAATCAAGGCTGCAGTGAGCCAGGATTCTGCTGTTGCACTCCAGCCAGTGAGACAGAGAGAGACCCTGTCTCTAAAAGACAAAAAACAAAAGCTGAGGAGGGGGAGAAAAAGGACTGAACTAGAAAGCAGAGGCACTTGCTGCTTAACATTTAATGCCCCAGAGTTGCTCTCTTGCCTCCTCCTCAGCCCCAGCCCAGCGACTGGGTGAGTGGAGTGCTTGCCCTGCACAGGCATCTACTCACATCTCTCAAGGAGGGTTTATGGAGTTGAAGCAAATGGTAAAGAGCAGAGAGTGATGTTAGTAATCCAGTGAGGACAAGAAACACAGAGTGAGCCTCCTAACACAGTGTCCAGTGGAGAATATGGACTCCCTGCTCCCTTGAATTTCTCATAAAAAACCTCTAATTTCTAGGAGTGGGGATCAGGTTGTGCCATGTGTATAAGAACCACTGGCTTCAGTGGTCATTTACCCTTGGTTAATAAGTCCTGGGAATGCTAGCAAAAACACCAGAGCATGCTCCAAGCTATTTTCTCCCTATTCTTTGTACTGATAGTAAAATCAGTAAAATCAACTCACTAACATTTCACAGGCTACACTAAAAGGGTTTCCCAGCTGTGCTGCAACATCCCTTGTTGGGACTCCAGCACATCCTCCACATCCCCTATAAGAAATGGTCCAAAATTTTCCCCCACTTCTTAAGTCCTTAACACCTCCTTTGGGATTCTTTATGCAGCTGGATCTCACTTCCTACCTTAGAGATAAGATCTCTGCCATCTGGTGGGAACTCCCTCTACACCTTAGCATATCTCTGGGTGCATTCCTGTTCCTACATTTTTGTTAAAGCTGTTTCCTTATGCTTCCCCCTTCCCCCTCCAATTCCATCCCTTCCCCCCTGCTACTTAATCCTTCTCATCCTTTAGGGCCTAATCCAATCCACAGCTCCTCCACACAGTTTTCCCTGACATTTCCTGCCCACAATGATATCTTCTTTCTTTGAACTTAGTGAAGTCTGTTATGAAAAGTTCTAGAATCACCAAACGGGCAGTGCCTTAAGTCGCCTTTTAGTCTAACCTCATGGATTTACATATTTGCCTAGTCCTTTAGCTAGTTAATGGCTGAGCCAGGACTGGACTGCAGCTTTCTGATTTCCAGTGCTGTTAACTGTGCTACTATATTTTAAAAATTCAGGGCCGAGTGTTTCTTCTCTTTCACGGGTCGCTTGCTGCTGGTATATGGCATTGTAAATGCTAGCAGTTTTCCTTCACATTGCAAGCCTGGTCACCTTTTACACTGCCACATTTCCTTGGAGGGGGAGGTTGGGGTTGGTTTTGGGGACTGGAGACAATACCATGTAGCATAAGAATTTAGGGATAGAGAAGCAGGAAAACTGGGTTATGATGATGCATTAAATAGCTACCAGAGAGGTGGCTGCTTCCTTCTTTGTTCCGTTTCTGTACCTTGTTAAATCTTCTAGGCCGAGCATGGTGGCACACGCCTGTAATCCTAGCACTTTGAAAGGCAGAGGCAGGTGGATCACCTGAGGTCAGGAGTTCGAGGCCAGCCTGACCGACATAGTGAGACCCATCTTTACTAAAAATACAAAAATTAGCTGGGCATGGTGGCCCGTGCCTGTGATCCCAGCTACTCGGGAAGCTGAGGCAGGAGAACTGCTTGAACCCAGGTGGTGGAGGTTGCAGTGAGCCAAGACTGCACCACTGCACTCCAGCCTGGATGACAGAGTAAGACTGTGTCTCAAAAAAAAAAAGAAAAAAGGAAAGAAATAACCATAAAAATAGGCAACCCAGCAGCCCTTGGGGCTGCTCTGCCTATAGAGTAGCCATTCCCTTATTCCTTTACTTTCTTAATAAACTTGCTTTCACGTTACTCAAGGGACTCGCCTCTCATTCTTTCTTGCACAAGATACAAGAACCCTCTCTTGGGTCTGGATCAGGACCCCTTTCCCATAACAGTATAGTCTATTGCTCCTAGGCTACAAACTGTACAGCATGTTACTATATATATATATACTGAATATTGTAGGCAAGTGTAACACAATGGTAAGTATTTGTGTATCTAAACATATTTAAACATAGAAAAGGTATGTAAAAATACAATATTACAATCTTTTTTTCTTTTTTTGAGACAGGCTCTCACTCTGTCGCCCAGGCTGGAGTGCAGCGGGGCGATCTTGGCTCACTGCAACCTCCACCTCCCAGATTCAAGCGATTCTCGTGAATATGGGGTTTCCTCATGTTGCCCAGGCTGGTCTCAAATTCCTGAGCTCAGGCAACCTGCCAATCTCAGCCTCCCAAAGTGCTGGGATTACGGTTGTGAGCCACTGCACCCAGCCAGTGAGCTGTGATTGCACCAATGCATGCCAGCCTGACAGCAGAGACCCTGTCTCAGAAGAAAAAAAAGTATGAAAGAAAATGTGTTAGAAGTTACCTACAGCTAGATGCCAGGAGCGGTGGCTCACGCCTGTAATCCCAGCACTTTGGGAGGCCAAGGAGGGCGGATCACGGGGTCAGGAGATCGAGACCAGCCTGGCCAACACGGTGAAACCCCATCTCTACTAAAAATACAAAAATTAGCTGGGCGTGGTGGTGGGCGCCTGTAATCTCAGCTACTCGGGAGCCTGAGGCAGGAGAGTGGCTTGAACCTGGGAGGCGGAGGTTGCAGTGAGCCAAGATCGCGCCACTGCACTCCAGCCTGGTGACAGAGCAAGACTCTGTCTCAAAACAAAACAGAACAAAAAGTTACCTACAGCTAGATAATCCCAAAATTTAGCAACTGTTATGTTCTATGATAAATCTCAGTGTCTAAAATTTGCTTCATTATTATCTATCACTTTCCACAAACATCATGGTACAATCCTAGGAAACACTGCTGTGACTGTTCTCAATCCAGTAACTATTCAGTAGGAGACCATCTCTCTCATAAGCCCTCCAGGGTTGGTGACTGCTGACTCTGAAAAAGTCTGGAGTAAAGAGCTCATGAGTTTCCATACATTTTCTGAATATAACTTTCCTCCCAAAATTCCAAAGTTGGGTCCATAAACAAGTGATTGCCATTAATATCTATGGATCTATTTTTATGCCTGAGTACAAAGTCATTCAAAACATTTTTTCCCACCAGAGACTTGAAACCCCTACATGCACGTTACTCTTGAGACTCAGGCTTTTCCTCCCATACTTTACCAATGATATCACTGGTAACATTACAAATGGTGATAACTGCTCAATGTACAGGTAGCATAGAAGGATGCATGCTTGATCAAAGATGACTTAAAATCATAGGTCAGGCCAGGCGCGGTGGCTCACGCCTGTAATCCCAGCACTGTGGGAGGCCGAGGCGGGTGGATCACCTGAGGTCAGCAGTTCGAGACTAGCCTGGCTAACATGGCCAAACCCTGTCTCTACTAATAATAAAAAAATCAGATGGGCGTGGTGGCACACGCCTGTAATCCCAGCTACTCAGGAGGCCGAGGCCCGAGAATGGCTTGAACCCGGAAGGCAGAGGTTGCAGTTAGCTGAGATTGCGCCATTGCACTCCAGCCTGGGTGACAAGAGCGAAACTCCATCTACAAAATAAATAAATAAATAAATAAAATCATAGGTCCGTCCACTGACTTTATTTTAAAGGACAATCTCTACCTCCAGCTGCTGTTTACTAAGTTGAATATCTGCAATTCTTGTTTCCAATAATTCAAAGCATTTTAAAAGCATGGGTGTGTTTCAAAATGTCCTCCAATCAAGTGGTTTTCAATTGCCTTGCCTCAGGGGACCATAAAATATGTATTTGAGTATCTTGGATTCATCCATCCTCAGACCACATCCAGCACAAAATTACACTGTGAGGAACTTTAGGCCCAACAGCTGCAGGAGTTAGAGGAAGGGAAATAAGGTCAAACAGGAATGTGCTGTCTGTGCATAAAATTAGCATAGCCTTATAGGTTAACATAAGATAAACATAAAGCATGCTAGAAAAAAATCAGGTAAAGGTGAAAATAATATGTCATTAAGCTATGCCTCTCCAGGAATTAAGGACACCAGGTCACTCACATTCCTAAAAGAAATATGTTCCATTAGGCTTGTTATGAGGATGTTCTCTACATTTCCATAGCAGGCTCAAGTCTAACAAGACTGAATTACATCTACCACTGCTTGAGGACCCTGAATTTGATTTTTCATTTGTGCCATATTTACTCTATAAAACCCACAATAACCACTTTAATTTGCTGTATAACCATTATTACATGGTAAGCATGTTTGTCTGTATAGGCACATTTGGTGGTGTTCAGTTCCAGATTTTAAAACTTTGTTTTTTGCCTAAGGTAGCTCCTTGAAAGAAGAGCTCTTCGTGTTCTACATCATACAATATTAATCACCACATTTTCCTGATGCACTGCAGATATTGAATCACTTGGAGGATGCCTTACAAAAAATGTATGAAAACAGCTTTTACTACATCTCAATAGCTAATGTAGAACACATTATAATCTAGGATGATAGCCAAATCCTTTTATCAATGGAAAAAATTAGTAAATATACATCTGATGACATTTCAAGGAACTCTCTAGAATAGAAAACTATAAACCCATTTTGCTAGGACTATTTTGATAACCCCAGCAGTTATCACATATTCAGAAATCCTTACCAACTTCTCACTTTTATCTCACAATATTTCTCCTTTCCAACCCTAGGAGACTGGAGGGTTAAAGTCTGGTATTTAATGTCTTCTGTTACTCCTGTCCTGTCACCCTTTCCCACCTTCTTTTAATTCTCAATATTCTTGATGTTCCAGAAAGTAAAACCAGAAATTAGAGAACCACCATTAAAATAAATCAGATCAGAACCAATTTACTTAATTCTCAGAACTTAATATTTAACTTTCAATTTGAAAAATGAATCCACTCTTAAATGTAGTGCTTTCACATAAAACTTTTCTCTTCCTTTTTCTTTCACAAGCTCAAGAGTTCCTAGGAGAACTCCACCCCCTACTCCCAACAAAAAGGTATTCAGCTAACCAATTATGCACATAAACCACCAATTTTCACATGTAAATATTCTTGTACATTATCATTTTACACATTTGAATGTGATTTTTACATTTAAAGTCCCGTGACAAGGCTTTGGAGATCTCAGCCTGTGGGCTATGGACAGATTAAGATTTCTTTTCTAATGATCATTTCCTTTTGGTGCTAATGTGTTTGTTCCTTATTAGTGCCACTCACTGGCCTGGACTTAAGCCAGATTAAAATAAATTCCTTTGATTTGCCTGGTTTCAAAGACACAAAAGAATTTCCCACTTTGAAAATCCCCACAGAGTTTTGGCTAAAGAATGTGTCACCTCAGGATGTTGATACTCTTCATTATGACTTATGCTGTTAGGAATTCCTCAACCTTAAGAGATAAGGTTGGTGTTGCTCCCTTCTTTTTTAGAAAACTGCAAAGGTAATGTCATCTGCTGTGAGTCTGATACCATTGTTAACTGTGCTTAATTCCTGAAATAATATAATAGAAATTGAAATTTGTTTTAGGGATTTCGTAAATGCGTGACCACAGTTATACAGCCTTAGTTCTACTGCTTAAAATTGGATATTTGAATATATTTGAAGTATTTGCAGAAAAATCACAAAAGCATGTCTTTTTTATCATTGAATATGTCAAGGAATAATTTTAATAAGCTTCATCCAGCTTTCCTATTATGCATGATTAAAATGTAAGTTAATACATAATTCAAAACTATTTTGAAGTTATTAAAATGAAGACATTCCTTTAGATTAATGTGTTAACTGTTTGTTTCTATTTTACAAATCTGCAGATGAAACCAAATTTTATTTAACACTAAAACATGTGATAAGCTAAGGAGCACATCATCTGTATCACTTCAAGAAAATAATGACAGCTTCCTTTATCCAGAAAATTATGCATGTTAGGAGGAGGTCTGTATTCAAAAAGGCATTTTCTTTTTCTCTTTTTTTTTTTTTTTTGAGACAGCATCTCACTCGGTTGCCCAAGCTGGAGTGCAGTAGTGCAATCTCAGCTCACTGCAACCTCCACCTCCCGTGTTCAAGCGATTCTCCTGCCTGAGCCTCCTGAGTACCTGGGTTAGGGATTTTCTAACCCCCAAGATAACTCTACCACCACAATCCAAACAACATTTGAACTTTTTTTTGTTTGTATCATATGTAAGCACTAAGAAAGCAGTTTTAATAGAAATTAAACATATATAGTGTTCTCTTTAAATATATTTAGAAAATTACTCAAGATTAATATAATTTTTCAATTGTTTTAGTTCTTGTACATTTTGATGATCAATAAAAGCTGGCCATACTTGCTAATTTAATTGTCATCCTAAATATATGTAATCCTGTCTAAGAACTTCCAAAATCTCTTTAAGAGTCACTATAGAATTGAAAATATAGTGGATTCCTTTAAAGGGCTGATAGAAGGGGATGGTAGGTGAGTGAGAGGACAGGATTATTGAAAAAAAACAACAATAACAACAACAAGAATGATTTAAAACAACTGAATTCATGGAAATAGAATGAAAAATGGTTATCAGAGACCAGGAAGGGCAGCCAGTGGGGAAGGGGGAGAGATGTGGGGATGGTTAATGGATACAAACATATATTTAGATAGAATGAATAAGATCTAGTAATTGGGGCCGGGCGCAGTGGCTCACACCTGTAATCCCAACACTTTGGGAGGCCAGGGCAGGTGGATCACCGGAGGTCAGGAGTTCGAGACCAGCCTGACCAAGATGGAGAAACCCCATCTCTACTAAAAATCAAAAATTAGCCAGGCATGGTGGTGGGTGCCTATAGTCCCAGCTACTTGGGAGGCTGAGGCAGGAGAATCACTTGAACCTAGGAGGTGGAGGTTGCAGTGAGCCGAGGTCGTGCCATTGCACTCCAGCCTGGGCAACAGGAGCGAAACTCTGTCTCAAAAAAAAAAAAAAAAAAAGATCTAGTACTTGATAGCACAACAGGGTGACTACAGACAACAATAAATTATTGTACATTTAAAAATAACTAAAAGAGCATAATTGGATTGTTTGTAACATAAAAGAAGGATAAATGCTGGAGGTGATGGATACCCCATTTACCTTGATGTGATTATTACGCATTGCATGCCTATATCAAAGTATCTCATATACTCCATAAATATATACACCTACTATGTGCCCACAAAAATTAAAAAGTAAGAAAATAAAAATAGATTTAAAAAAGAATGATAGTTTTTATGTCGGAATTTATGTTTGATGTGTTTATGTGATGTGTTTGTGTTGTGACCTATATAATAGGTGAATGTATGTAATACTTTTCTTTTAGAATTAGTCAAGGAAGAAGTAACCAATGAAGGAAGAAAAAGGCTGATAAATTGACTGTCTGCTTACAAATAATAAAGAAAACATATGATAAATGAATTCAAAGGATTACAGTCCAACTGAGAAAAAACTACTTGATCACATATGACATATAGAGAAAAAGGGCTTACAAATCAATAGAGCAAAACACCAATAGAAAATGACAAAGACTGTCAACAGACATTCACAAATAAGGAAATATAAATGGTTAATAAACTTACAAAAATATGTTTAACCTGATGACAGATGAAGACATACATGTTAATCCACTGAAATGCTTTTTGACGATTATATTGGGAAAGACAAAAATGAGAGAAAAAGCTTAATGTTGGCAAGTATTTGCTAAAGCAGGTACTCTCATATTCTGTAAGTGGGAATACAAATTTGTGCCAAAACTGTAGAGGATAATTTGACAACATATACTAAAATTCAAGATGCTCTAGTATGATCCAGAAATTCTACTTTTAAAATCTTATCCTGGCCAGGCGTGGTGGCTCATGCCTGTAATCCCAGCACTTTGAGAGGCTGAGGTGGGTGGATCACCTGAGGTTAGGAGTTTGAGACCAGCCTGGCCAACATCGTAAAACCCCATCTTTACTAAAAATGCAAAAAATTAGCCTGGTGTGGTGTGGCATGCCCCAGTAATCCCAGCTACTCGGGAGGCTGAGGTGGGAGAATTGCTTGAACCCGGGAGGCGGGGGCTACAGTGAGCCGAGGTCGTGCCACTGCACTCCAACCTGGGCAACAGAGCAAGACCCCATCTCAAAAAAAAAAAAAAATCATATCCTAAGGAAATATTATAGGTAACGTGAAAAACTGGAAACAATGGAAATCTCCCAGAGTAGAATTATTCATAAAGTCTAATATTCTGTATCCATTAAGTTTATCTATGTGAGCTATTTTATCTGAGATGTTCAATCAGAAACAAAAGCTACAGAATAATATACCTCTATTAGGTTGGTGCAAAAGTAATCACAGTTTTTGCCATTGAAAGTAATAGCCAAAATGTCCGGGCCTGGTGGCTCATGCCTGTAATCTCATCACTTTGGGAGGCCGAGGTGGGCAGAATTCGAGACCAGCCTGGCCAACATGGCGAAACCCCATCTCTACTAAAAAAACAAATACAAAAAAAATTAGCCAGGCATGGTGGCACATGCCTGTAATCTCAGCTACTCGGGAGGCTGAGGCAGGAGAATTGGATGAACCCGGCAGGCAGAGGTTGTAGTGAGCTGGATCCGCCACTGCAGTACAGCCTGGGTGGAGAAAAAAAAAGAAAATAAAAGAGGCCAGGCATGGTGGCTCACGCCTGTAATCCCAGCACTTTGGGAGGCCAAGGCAGTCAGATCACCTGAGGTCAGGAGTTCGAGACCAGCCTGGTTAATATGGTGAAACCCCGTTTCTACTAAAAATACAAAAAAATTAGCTGGGTGTGGTGGCGCACACCTGTAATCCCAGCTACTTGGGAGGCTGAGGCAGGAGAATTGCTTGAACCTGGGAGGCAGAGGTTGCAGTGAGCCGAGATCGTGCCAGGGCAGTAAAAGTGAAACTCTGTCTCAAAAAAAAAAAAAAAAAAAGGATAGAAAAGAGAGAGAGAGACAGAAAGAAAGAAAGGAAGGAAGGAAGGAAGGAATGAAGGAGAGAGAAAGAGAGAAAGACCGAGATTACTTTTGCACCAACCTAATTACATGTGTTAGTTTAAGCAATATAATATAAGGAAGTTATCTTTAGAGGAGAGAACTATAAAAGACATCATAGTCTTTTATAATGGTCTCGAATTTTAACATTCTTTTAATGTGAAAAACCAATATTGTAGAACTGAAAGAAAATATGTAAATAATAATTAAAAGAATGAACAAGGCAAGTTATTCAGGATTCTACCATAATGAAATTATCAGGTATCAGCCAAAGTAAACTGCCCGCACTTTCATGTTTCTGTCCCCAAAAAGGAAAGGCTATATAAAACACCATTAAAATGGTCAGCCTGTAGAAGAAGCTATTTCACTAATAACTCTGTCATTGACTACACACTGTATTGAGCTAATATAGGAAAAGATTTTCTTTTACAGTCTGAAGAAGATTAAAATTCCATATTCTTCATGCCAAGTATCAGAGTCAACATTTGGGCCTTGGCCTGACTTGGTAGTCCTGACGGATCTCAGAAGATGTGGAATGAGAGGCCAGTCGAGACCAGCCTGACCAACATGGTGAAACCCCCATCTCTACTAAAAATACAAAAATTAGCTGGGCATGGTGGCGGGTGCCTGTAATCCCAGCTACTCAGGAGGCTGAGGCAGGAGAATTGCTTGAACCCGGGAGGCAGAGGTTGCAGTGAGCCGAGATCATGCCACTGTACTCCAGCCTTGGCAACAGAGCAAGACTCTGTCTCAAAAAAAAAAAAAGAAGATGTGGAATGAGGACTGAAATCCCCTAAAACCTGTTTATAAATGATTATAATGGAATTTTGGATTATCTGGCATTTCATTTTAGGGGACTTTTCTTCAGTTTTAGTTTTACTTTCTTTTAAAAAGAAGCAAAAGTAAATCTGATTATTCCTCTATTTGCAAATCTATTATGGATAACCATTGTCTAAAATATAATGCTCAAACTCCTCCTTATCAAGGCAAACAAGGCCCTTCTGACAACCTACCCTAGCCAATCTTATCTAGGGTGTGTCTCCACTCACCCAACTCCATAGCCGTCCTAATACACACACACACACACACACACACACATAGAATTCAGTGAAAAGTTTGAAGACACTGTGCCAACACGGTGAATTTCACCTCTGTGAAGCCTTCCCCAAGTCTGTGTAGCAGTTATCATATTTTATTTTTATTTTATTTTAGTATTTTATTTTGTTCTGAGACAGAGTCTCGCTCTGTCGCCCAGGCTGGAGTGCAGTAGTGAACTGCTTGACCTCCTGAGCTCAAGAGATCCTCCTGCCTCAGCCTCCCAAGTAGCTGGGACTTAAGGTACATGCCACCCTGCCCAGCTAATTTTTTTTTAAAATTTGGCTGCAAACGTTGCCCAGACTGGTTTGAACTCCTGGTCTCAAGCAGTCCTCCCACTTCAGTCTCCCAAAGCACTGGGATTACATGTGCAAGCCACCACTCCCAGCCCTGTTTTATTTAAGTACTCTTCTCTAAACAGTAACCTGTTCAAATAAAGGGGCCAAGTACTCAACATCTGGTAACTGAAACAGTACTATATTATAATTGTTTATATCAATAAATCAGAAGAATGCTTTGATAAGGGTTTTGAACCCAATGCCAATTTTATTGTGCTTGTTTGTTTGTTTGTTTGTTTGTTTTTAAGAAACGGCGTATCACTATGTTGCCCAGGCTGGTCTTTATCTCCTGAGCCCAAGCAATCTTCCCACTTCAGCCACCCCAGTAGCTATTACAAGCATGAGCCACCACACCTTACCCTGAACCCAAAGCCAATTTTAAAGATTTACAAACCAGTCATTTCAAATGAAGAATAATGAAATCCAAGTGGAAAGAAAAACAAACAAAAAGTTTTAGTTATACCCAAAACAAAATTGACGAGCAATGCTTACACTAGGCGTCTGTATGGACAGAGGCATAAAAGCACTGACTATGATGATGACAGACGGACTGCTCTGCCACCCTATCGCTAAAGAGGGCCCACCGATCCTGACCACATTGCCCAGGTCCAGCCCTAAGAAGCAGCATGGACAGAGCAGGCTTTGCTTTGTCAGGATGGCTATGCAACGAAAAGGGAGCTCTCTGAAGAGGGCCAACTGAAGGGATGCTTGGGCTTGCTGGAAAGAAGCCTATTGGTTAGAGAAAAGCCTAGTGGAAATAGTCAGCTCAGTGAATCAAAGGGAGTTGACCTAATCTCTTTCTCCTGAGAATTTCTGCCTGGGAGAAGAAGGCAAAACTGGATCTCTGCATATAGAAGCACATGATAAACAGTTTTTGCTAGAAAAACTATGGTTGTAATATGTGATAATATCCATTAAGAGAATAATACTTTTGCCAGGCATGGTGGCTCCTACCAGTAATCCCAGCACTTTGGGAGGCTAAAGCAGGTGGATCACTTTAGGCAAGGAGTTAGAGACCAGCCTGGCCAACATAGTGAGATCTCTGTTCCTAAAAAAAAAAAAAAAATTTTTTTGAGACAGAGTTCACCCTGTCACCCAGGCTGGAGTGCAGTGATGCAATCTCGGCTCACTGCAACCTCTGCCTCCCGGGTTCAAGTGATTCTTCTGCCTTAGCCTCCTGAGTAGCAGGGACTATGGGTGCCCACGACCACGCCCGGCTCATTTAGTATTTTTTAGTAGAGATGGGGTTTCACCGTGTTGGCCAGCCTGGTCTCGAACTTTTGGCCTCTCAAACTGCTGGGATTACGGACGTAAGCCACTGTGCCTGGCATCTACAATAATTTTTTTTTTCTTCTTTTTTGAGATGGAGTCTTGCTCTGTTGCCCAGGCTGACGTGAAATGCCAAGATCTCGGCTCACTGGGTTCCAACTCCTGGGTTCAAGCAATTCTCCTGCCTCAGCCTCCTGAGTAGCTGGGATTACAGGCGTGTGCCACCACACCCAGCTACTTTTTTGTATTTTTAGTAGAGACAGGGTTTCACCATGTTGGCCAGGCTGGTCTTGAACTCCTGACCTCATGATTCACCCACCTCGGCCTCCCAAAGTGCTGAGATTACAGGTGTGAGCCATCGCACCCAGCCGCCCCAAATTTTTTTAAGTTAGCCAGGCATGGTGGCATGCACCTGTAGTCCCAGGTACTCTGGAGGCTGAAGTAGGAGGATTGCTTGAGCCCAGGAGTTCGAGGTTACAATGAGCTATGATGACACCACTGCTACAGCTTGGGAGACAGAGCAAGACCTTGTCTCTAAAAAAGTAAAAATAAAAATAAATAAATAATGCTAATAAAAAAGAGAATAATACTTTTCACTCTTTGATAATGGTCATTTTCCTCTGCTTTTCCTCTTTTTTTTTTCCTCATCAGAACAGAACTTTAACTAAAATACTGATAGCTAACCACATTTAGAAAGACCAGGTTGATGTGGAGAATTTGGAAATGGAAATAGGTTAGAAGAACCCGCCTGCAACAAAGATTTTTAACTTTATTACTATTTTATTTATTTATTTATTGAGACGGGGTTCTGCTCTGTTGCCCAGGCTAGAGTTCAGTGGTGTGATCACAGTTCACTGCAGTCTTGACCTCCCAGGCTCAAGAGATCCTATGACCTCAGCCTCCAAGTAGCTGGGACTACAGACTGGCTAATTTTTGTATTTTTAATAGAGATGGGTTTTCGCCATGTTGCCTAGCCTGGTCTTGGTCTTTAAATATTTATTTCTTTTAGTATTAAAAGTTAGCTCTACACTGACAAAGCTAAGAGCACAACACAGTTTTATCAGAGAGTGATAGGAGGGGAGCAAGGAGGAAATTGCTTCTCCCTCCCCCATCTAAGGGAACATCAGGAAATGGGTAATTCAGCATAACATGTGTGGGCAGAGATCTCTTTTTGTTTCCCAGACGGAGTCTTGCTCTGTCACCCAGGCTGCAGTGTAGTAGTGCAATCTCAGCTCACTGCAACCTCCGCCTCCCCGGTTCAAGTGAAACTCCTGCCTCAGTCTCCCAAGTAGCTGGGATTACAGGTGCGAGCCACCACGCCGGGCTAATTTTTGTATTTTTAGTAGAGACGAGGTTTCACCATGTTGGCCAGGCTGGTCTTGACTCCTGACCTCATGATCCACCTGCCTCAGCCTCCCAAAGTGCTGAGATTACTTACAGGCATGAGCCACAGAGCCTGGCCTAGAAATATCTTTTAAAAGCATTCATTCCAGCCGGGCGCAGTGGCGTGCTTCTAAGTGCATCAAACCATTAAATATCCAGACAAATCAGACTTTTTTGCCTATTTTAACTCTGCTTCTCTCCTTACAATGGACTCTTCTAGAATGTAGGAGTTTTTTTGTTTGTTTTTGTGTTCTTGGCAGTTTTTACGGTTTTATTTAAACACAAAACGTGCATATGAGCTATCTATTCATTTTCTTTGCTGCACAGCCTGGCATTGGGGTTGGTGACTCTGATGGCCAGCTGGACAGAACTTTCCATGATGGCTTTGCGGTTCTTGGTTTTTGTGAGCGACCTCAGCACAGTAAGATTTGTTGCACATCAGCAGCACTTCCAGCTCCTTGATGTTCTGGACCAGGAACTTGCGGAAGCCACTAGCAGCATGTGCTTTGTTTTTTGTTTTTTTGTTTGTTTGTTTGTTTGTTTGTTGTTGTTGCTCCCATAACCAATGTTGGGCATCAAGATCTGGGCCTTGAACCTTCTATGAACCCTGTTGTCAATACCTCTGGGTTTCCACCAGTTACGCTTCATTTTGACATATGGGTCTGACTGGTGCCGGATGAACTTCTTGGTTCTCTTTTTAATGATCTTGGGCTTCACAACGGGTCTGAGGGCAGCCGTGATGCTGAGGAGGAGATGGCTGCCACCTCGGTAGGCAGCCCAGAGGAAGAGCTAGAATGTAGTTTTTAACTCACAATTCAGAACTCTCCTGAACCTGCAGACTAGGTTAAGGTTCCTGCTAGCTACCTGCAGCATACAGCCCTTACTACTCTCACAGCACCTGTTAAGTAAGGAACTACTGAAATCACTTGCTTAATTACCTGATGTATACTCCACCTGGGCAAGGATCTTGCATGTCTTTTTTTTTTTTTTTTTTTTTGAGACAGACTCTCACTCTTGTTGCCCAGGCTGGAGTACAGTGGCACAATCTTGGCTCACTGCAACCTCTGCCTCCCTGGTTCAAGCGATTCTCTGGCCTCAGTCTCCTGAGTAGCTTGGATTGCAGGTGCCCACCACCACACCTGGCTAATTTTTGTACTTTTTAAATAGAGACGGGGCTTCGCCATGTTGGCTAGGCTGGTCTCGAACTCCTGACCTCAGGTGATCTGCCCGCCTCGGCCTCCCAAAGTGCTGGGATTACAGGTGTTAGCCACTGCACCCGGCCTCATGTCTTATTCAATTGTGTATCCACAGTGCCTACTATAAACCTGGGCACAGGACAGATCCTCAGTACATAATTGTGGAATTAGTAAATGAGTATTCTCTTATACATCAAGGTTGCTAAATATTTATGTTAGATGAATGGTATGGTAGTTTGTTCTATCGATGTACCCCGATGAACCAAATCTCCTGCTATTTACATCCTTTACTGCCATCTCTTCTTGAATCTGACACATTTTAACCAATAGAATACAGCTAAAGTTGTCCTGTGCCAGTTCCAGGCCTAAGTCTTAAGAAACCTTGAGCTTCCTCCTTTTGTACAAATGGAAGAAAATCCTAACATACATAGTCCAACTCCTTCGACTACCAAGCCAGGAAGAAGCCCAAGTCATCTATATGGTGAGGCCACATGTAAGAGAACTAAGAACCCAGCTGGCAGCAAGAACTGAGGAACTCAGCTGAGCAAGAACTGAACCACTTCTCCCATCAAACTCCACCAACTAGCACCAATGTACCAGTCATGTGAATAGGCCACCTTGGAAGTGGATCATCCAACCCCAGTCAAGCTGCTCCAGCTGATGCCATGTGGAGCAAACTGCCAAGTCCTGCACAAATCTCAGAATCGGGAGCAAATAAATGATAGCTACTGTTTTAAAGCCCTGAACATTGGAATGGTTGTTATGCAGCAACTGATAATTGAGATAGAGGATAGGTGGATATTTACATTTCACAAAAATAAAATACAAACCATGTGCTCTATGTGCATGTATATGCAAAGATTTGCTGCAATGAAAGGCAGCAGATTTACAGAGAGAACTTACATATTTCCTGGACATACAATAGTCTAATATGTTATTAAATCAAGCATTATAGAGTGTTAGCATTTTTCTTTTAGTTATGAAAAATAACTAATGTTTGTGAATATGAACTATTTACTATGTGCACAGCACTTTGTATGCATAAATTCTCACCATAGCAATATGCTAAACATATTATCCCCAATTTATAGACAATGAAACTGATAGTTAGAGAGGAAGTAACCAGGCCAAAGTCACACACTGAGCAAGATTCAGAGCCCAAATTTGAACTCAAACCATGCAACTTCAGAGCCCAAGGTCTTAAAAACACTAGAGGGACTTTCTGAAAAAAAGCCACCACTACCACCACCACTACTTACCACTACCAAAACCAGTCATGAGAACAATGTAATTGTGCTCCTTCAAGGGAGAATTACTGTCACTATTTCTCTTTCTCTCCATTTCCATTCTTTTTCTCTCCAGCTTCAGCTGAGCTCCTCCAAGACTAGTGGTCTAGTGATGCCATCAGCAATCTCACTACATGACAGCCCCCCAACCAGTGTTTAGGAGAAAAATGACACAGTCACGAATGTTACCTCTAAAAAGGATTTGCAGAATGAGCATTAACCTTACCACACATGCAGCACCTACTGAAATAGTGTGATTGCAAGGAAATTCCTCTCTAACAAAAAATCTCTTCCCTGAGTGGCAGATGTCTGAAATCTGCCATTGTGAAGGGGAATGAAAAATGATCTGCCACATGCTTCTGTATACCTGATTCTCTGGACTCAATTTCCTCATCTGTAATATTGGAGAACTGATTTGTTAAATTCTCTAAAACTTTATGGTTCTATTTTTTTTTTTTTTTTTGAGACGGAGTCTTGCTCTGTTGTCCAGGCTGGAGTGCGGTGGAGCAATCTCAGCTCACAGCAACCTCTACCTCCCAGGTTCAAGCAATTCTCCTGCCTCAGCCTCCCAAGTAGCTGCGACTATATAGGCGCAGGCTGCCACGTCTGGCTAATTTTTTGTATATTAGTAGAGATGGGGTTTCACCGTGTTGCCCAGGCTGGTCTCAAACTCCTGAGCTCAGGCAATCTGCCCGTCTAGGCCTCCCAAACTGCTGGGATTACAGGCATGAGCCACCGCGCCCAGCCCTGGTTCTGTTTTTTAATTTAAATTTAAGATAAATTTAGCAGCTATTAGGTTATTAAGTTAGGCAAGGGATTATAAAAATATAGTGATTTAATTGAAAGGCACTTGTCACAGATGGGTTTTATTTCTATTCTGAAACCTAAAAGAAAGAATAGGATTCTGGGAACATAGACTATGTAAATTATAGTCTACCTAAGTAGACTACAAATATAACAGGCTATATAAAATAAACCAATCACAAAAAGACAAATACTGAATGATTCCACTTATATGAGTCACCTATGTAGAAAAATTCATAGAAATATAAAGAACAGTAGTTACCATGGGCTGGGATGAGGAGGAAATGGAGAGCTGTTCAGTGAGTACACAGTTTCAGTTTTGTAAGATGAAAAATTTCTAGAAATTAGTTGCAGAACAATGTGATTAAACCTAATACTACTGAACTGTACACTTAGAAATGGTTAAGCTGATAAATTCTATATGTTTTTTTACCACAATTTAAAAAAAGAAATAGAATATACATACCCCATGAATGGTACAGAGGGTAATACTTCAGTGGTTTGGGGAAATGAGAGATTCACTGGTGTCTTGTGACTGACATCAGTGTAACAAGGAAAGCCCCCTTGTGGGAAGATGGGTGGCAGTCCTTGAAGATGATGAATGTTGACAGGTAGAGACAGGAAGATGAAGAGATAAGCAAAATTGGGGAGGTGGAAGAGGCTGCAATGTATTGGGGGATATGAAGGAACCCAGTCTGATTTAACACTTAAGCAATGTGCACAGAGAAGAAATGCTTAAAGAACCACATCCAGGGAATTTTATATTTTATTTTATTTTATTTTATTTATTTTTGAAACAGAGTATCTCTCTGCCACCCAGCCTGGAGTGCAGTGGCACAATCTCAGCTCACTGCAACCTCTGCCTCCCAGGCTCAAGCGACCCTCTCACCTCAGTAATTTTTGTAGAAACAGGGTTTCACTATGTTGCCCAAGCTGGACTCAAACTCCTGGGCTCAAAGGATCCACCCACCTCAGCCTCTCACAGTGCTGGGATTATAGGCATGAGCCACCTCACTTGGCCAGAATTTTAAATTCACTGAAGTTAGAGTTATATTTCCAGTGTGTATCATTTCTTCATAATTGAGGCAACATGTGCAATTGCTCTAGGGAATGAACTTTTTATTGCTTCAATTTTAGATTGATAAGATCACATTATGATGTATCATTAGGAACAGCTAATAACAGTAATGATCTAATAAGTGTAATGCAATCTAAGACACTTCACAAATAAACAAAAATTAAACCAAACTGGGCAAAACGCCCAGATTACTTCCTACACACACCAACAAAATACTATAAAAGTAAAAATGGAAACAAATGTCTCCCAAAAATGGTGGTTATTTTTGGGTTGTAAAACAATGGAAGACTTTTCTTCTTTTTCTCTGTATTACTTCTTATTTCTGTTTTAAAAATAAGCATGAACATCTTTTGATAATGGGAAAACATTTAATGATATAAATTGTTATTATACGTGGCATAAGAATACAAGAGAACCACTTCTTGAAATCCCGAAAGAAAAACGATGAGGAACCCACCTCTATCTCACCAACATGGGGATTCCAGCTACTTGATAGCAGGCAACTTGCCTTTCATTGATTTTATACACCCCTAACAGGGATCCTCACAGTATACTTTCTCCAATAAGTAGTTTTTGACTATTAATGACTCTGGACACAGGAAAAGGAAAGGTTCTAAGCCATCCCAAGAATATATTTTGGCCCTGAATTTAACTAGAAAGAGGGAATAGCAGAAATGCTCCCACTACTCACCAAGCTAAAGATAATATTTTCAGCACTTGTCAAGTCCCATCAGTGAGCCAGCTAGGGAGCTCAGTTCCTTCTCCAAAAGATTAGAAAGTAGGCATCTTGTTCTCTTAAGGAGAGACTGTGAGTAGGCTTAAAATTGAATTCACACTTTTCATCACTAATGGAAATCAATGTTACTATTCCTTCTGTTTCCTTCCACAGATATACTATGCATATATATATGTATATATGCAAATATGTATTTTACACACACACACACCACATCATATAAGTAATCTCTGTTAGCTGGATGTGTTGGCTCACGCCTGTAAACCCAGCACTTTGGGAGGCCGAGGCGGGTGGATCACCTGAGGCCAGGAGTTCGAGACCAGCCTGGCCAACATGGTGAAACCCCGTCTCTACTAAAAATACAAAAATTAGCCGGGTGTGGTGGCGGGCAGCTGTATTCCCAGCTACTTGGGAGGCTGATGCAGGAGAATTGCTTGAACCCAGGAGGCGGAGGTTGCAGTGAGTTGAGATCACATCATTGCACTCCAGGCTGGGCGACAAGGTGAGACTCCGTCTCAAAAAACAAACAAACAAACAAAATTGGTCTCTGTCTTCAGTTTTTCCTTTTCTTTTCTTTTCTATGCAATATATTTAACCTATAGCTATGGTGTTAATTCTTGTTGATTTGAATCAAAGTTGAATTGTTGAATTGAATTGAAGAAAATTTCCTTAATTCATTCCACAAATGTTTAATTTGAGCTAGATGCTGGGTCTGTATCAGTGAAAAAACCAGTTTCTGCAGAAGCTTGAAGTCTAATTTGCAAAGTCATGGTAAGTTATTAGTATAAAACTTACATAATTTCTATTAAAAAATGTGTACATGTATGAAATAACTAGAGTAAAATTACTCATGAACTAATGCTTTGTCACTAGTAGAGCTATGGGCTACATATGGAGCAGATACCGGACCTCCAAATACCAGGACAAAGAAGCAGAATTGGATAGGCTTTGGTTAAACTAGGATTTTACATGTGAGAGGCACTTAATATATAATCATATCCCAATTATTTATACTTAGAGGAGGAATCCAAGTCTCAGGGAGATATAAATAACAGTGTTATTTATTTTTTTTATGTATTATTATTATTATTTTTGAGGCAGCGTCTTGTTTTGTCGCCCATGCTGGAGTGCAGTGGCAGGATCTTGGCTCACTGCAACCTCCACCTGCCGGGTTCAAGCAATTCTCTGCCTCAGCCTCCAGATTAGCTGGGATTACAGGTGCCCGCCACCACACCTGGCTAATTTTTTTGTATTTTTAGTAGACGGGGTTTCACCATCTTGGCCAGGCTGGTCTTGAACTCCTGACCTCGTGATTTACTGGCCTCAGCCTCCCAAAGTGCTGGGATTACAGGCGTGAGCCACCGTGCCTGGCCCCTTTTTTTTTGTATTTTTAGTAGAGACGGGGTTTCACCATGCTGGCCAGGCTGGTCTCAAACTCCCGACCTTGTGATCCCCCCGCCTCAGCCTCCCAAAGTGCTGAGATTATAGGCGTGAGCCACCACGCCCAGCCTGAAACACTGAGTGTTATTTAGAAGCATAGATTCATGCTCTTTCTAGTCCAGGGTAGACCACATTGTTTGGTGTTGGTGAAGACCCAAGTAGATGACTTCTAAAAGTGCGTCCCAACACTCAATTGTGAGGCTAGATTCTGTTTTGTAGAAAACACTGTAAGGAGAGAACACCTCTCTGGGAGCAATCAGTAGCAACATTGCAAAGAGTTTATGACCATGAACTCAAGAACCTGACTGCTACAATTAAAAATCCCTACTCTGGCTGGGCACAGGCCTGTGATTTCAGCACTTTAGGAGGCCAAGGTGGAAGGACTGCTTGAGGCCAGAAGTTTGAGACTAGCCTGGGCAACACAAGGAGACTCCCCTTGCTACAAAAAACAAGAAGTAAATAGCTGGGTATGGTAATGTAGTGCCTGTAGCTACTCGGGAACAGGATTGGTTGGGCCCAGTAGTTTGAGTAGTTTCAGGTTGCAGTGAGCTACGATCATGCCACTGCACTCCAGCCTGGGCAACAGGGCCAGACCCTGTTTCTTGAAAAAAAAAAAAAAAAAATCCCTACTCTGTCAATTCCCACATCTGTAAAATAGGAATAATAATGGTATCCATTTTATAGTCATTGTGAGAGTAAAATGAGCTGATACACCCAGTGGTGTGCTGGTAGATGTTTAACCAGCCTAGGAATAAGAAAGCTCTGTAGCTTTGTAGCACTTACCAATTTCCTACCTGATTTCAAGCCACCAACATGAGTCAACTAGCTTATAGAATTCCTGATATTTTAACCATTGGCTCTTGTGAGCTGGTACTTGTATACCACAACATATGAAATATTTATGAAAATCCCTGAGCCAGGCATGGTGCCGCACACCTGTTGTCCCGGCTACTTGAGAACCTAAGGCTTGAGCCCAGGAATTGAAGGCTGTAGTGTGCAATGATTGTGCCTGTGAACAGCCACATAGGCACTCCTCTAGCCCAGGAAACATAGTGAGACCTTGCTTCTGCACTTTGAGTATTACATGCATACAAAACATGTAGATATTAGTTACTATATGTACTTTTTTTTTTTTTTGAGACAAGGTCTCACTCTGTTGCCCAGGTTGTAGTGCAGGGGCACGATCATGGCTCACTGCAGCTTCAAACTCCCAGGCTCAAGCAATCCTCCCACCTCACAGCCTCTGAAATAGCTGGGGACTACAGGCATGTGCACACACACCCCACAATTTTTGTATTTTCTGTAGAGATTGGGGTCTTATTTTATTGCTCAGTCTGGTCTCAAACTCCTGAGCTCAAGTGATCTAGATCTACCCACCTCAGCCTCCCAAAGTGCTGGGATTACAGGCATGAGCCACTGCGCTCGGCCTAGTTCCTTATTTTAATGGAAAAAAGTGTACATATTTATGCTGTAAAACAAGATGTTTTGATATATGTGTATACTGTGAAATACGTAAATCAAGTTAGTTAACTTATTCATTACCTCACATATTTATCTTTTTTTTTTTTTTTTTTTTGAGACTACATCTTGCTCTTGCCCAGGCTGGAAGACAGTGAAGTGGTGCAATTATGGCTCACTGCAACCTCAACCTCCCAGGCTCAAGCAATCCTCCCATCTTGGTCTCCCAAGTAGCTGGGACTACAGTTGTGCACCACTCAGCCTTTTTTTTTTAGACAGAGTCTTGCTCTGTCGCCAGACTGGAGTGCAGTGGTGTAACTCGGCCCACTGCAACCTCCACCTCCTGGGTTCAAGCGATTCTCCTGCCTCAGCCTCCTGAGTAGCTGGGTCCACAGGCACGGGCCACCATGCCCAGCTAATTTTTTTTTGTATTTTTAGTAGAGATGGGGTTTCACCATGTTGGCCGGAATGGTCTCGATCTCTTGACCTCATGATCCTCCCTCCTCGGCCTCCCAAAGTGCTGGGACTACAGGCGTAGCCACCGCGCCTGCTCTTTTTTTTTTTTAGAGACAGTGTCTCACTATGTTGCCCTGCTGGTCTTGAATTCCTGATCTCAAACAATCCTCCCACCTCAGCCTCCCAGTGTGCTGGGTCTACAGGCATGAGCCACTGTGCCCAGCCTATTTATCCTGTTGTGTGTGTGTGTGGTAAGAACACTTAAAATCTACTTTTCTAGTAATTTTGTTTTCTTTCTTTTTTTTTTTTTTTTTTTTTTGAGATGGAGTCTCACTTTGTTGCCCAGGCTGGAGTGCAACGGTGCGATCTCGGCTCACTGCAATCTCCACCTCCCAGGTTCAAGCGATTCTCCTGCCTCAGCCTCTCAAGTAGCTGGGATTACTGGTGCCCACCACCATACCCAGCTAATTTTTTGTATTTTTAGTAGAGACAGGGTTTCACCATGTTGGCCAGGCTGGTCTTGAACTCCTGACCTCAGGCAATCTGCCATCTCGATCTCCCAAAGTGCTGGGATTACAGGCGTGAGCCACTGCGCCTGGCCAGCAATTTTCAAATGTACAATATATTGTTATTAACTGTATTCACCATGATGTTCAATAGGTCTCCTGAACGTATTCTCTTTTTTTTTTTTTTTTTTTTTTTTGAGACAGAGTCTCACTCTGTTGCCCAGGCTGGAGTGCAGTGGTGCAATCTCAGCTCATGCAACCTTTGCCTCCCTGATTCAAGCAATTCTCGTGCTTCAGCCACCCAAGTAGCTGGGATTACAGGTACACACAACCACACCTGGCTAATTTTTGCATATTTAGTAGAGACAGGGTTTCACCATATTGGCCAGGCTTAGTCTTCTTAAATTTCATGTCCTTTGTCTAACATCTTCCCAATCCTTGCCCTCTCTGCCAACCCCTACCCCTGATAACTAACATTCTACTCTTTGCTTCTATGTTTTTGACTTTTTAGATTTCATATAAGTGAGATCATGCAGTGTTTGTTTTTCTGTGCCTGGCTTATTTCATTTAACATAGTACCCTCTAAGTTCATTTGTATTACTGCAAATGACAGGATTTCCTTCTTTTTTAAAGGCTGAGTAGTTGTGCATATATACCAGATTTTCTTTTCTTTTCTTTCTTTCTTTTCTTTTTTTTTTTTTTGAGACAGAGTCTCTCTCTGTCACCCAGGCTGGAGTGCAGTGGTGTGATCTTGGCTGCCTGCAACCTCCGCCTCCCGGGTTCAAGTGACTCTCCTGCCTCAGCCTCCCAAGTAGCTGGGACTACAGGCATGCACCACCATGCCCAGATAATTTTTGTATTTTTTAGTAGAGACAGGGTTTTGCCATGTTGGTCTCGAACTCCTGACCTCAGGTGATCCACCTGCCTGGGCCTCCCAAAGTGCTGGGATTATAGGCCTTAGCTATCGTGTCCGGCCCAGATTTTCTGTATCTAATCATCCACTGATGGACACTTAAATTGCTTCCATACCTTGGCTATTGTGAATAATGCTGCAATGAACATAGGCATGCATCTATAACTTCACCATACTGATTTCATTTTCTTTGGATATATATCCAAGAGTGAAATTGACATATCATATGGTAGTTTTATTTTTTTTTCAGAAAACTTCATATTGTTTTCCATAATGACTGTACTAATTTACATCCCAACCGTTTACTAGGTTCCTGTTTCTTTGTTTGTTTGTTTGTTTTGAGAGAGATCTCCCTTTGTCACCCAGGCTGGAGTGTAGTGGGGCAAACATGCCTCACTGCGGCCTTGGCATTGGAACTCAAGCTATCCTCCCGCCTCATCCCCTAAGCACCACATGCATGTGCCACCATGCCTGGCTAATTTTTAAATTTTTTGTAGAAATGGGGTCCCACTATATTGCCCAGGTTGATCTCCAACTCCTGGGCTGATGTAGACCTACCATCTCAGCCTCTGGAGTAGCTGGGACCACAGGTGTGTGCCAAAAAAGTGCCAGGATTACAGGCTTGAGCCACCACACCCAACCAAGGGTTTCTTTTTCACTACATCTTTACATCCTCACCAACAGTTGTTATTTTAAAATTTTTATTGATTCAATCTCCTTACTCATTATCAATCTGCTCAAATTTTCTGTGTATATACATGTATGTATTTTTCACTTGTTATTTATTTATTTATTTTTTGGAGACACTTTTGCTCTGTTACCCAGGCTGGAGTCCAGCTGACTGCAGCCTCAACTCCCCGGGGCTCAGGTGACCCTCTCACCTCAACCTTCAGAGTAGCTAAGACCACAGGAGCAAGTCACCACGCCTGGCTAATTTTTTGTATTTTTAGTAGAGACAGGGTTTTGCCATTTTGCCCAGGCTGATCTTGAACTCCTGGTCTCAAGCGATCATCCTACCTTAGCTTCCCAAAGTGCTGGGATTACAAGGGTGAGCCACTGTGCCAGCCTCAAATTTGTTCATGATTCAGTCTTAGTAGATTGTGTGTGTCTAAGAATGTATCAATTTCTTCTCGGTTATCAAATTTGTTTCTAGGTTCAAATTTGTTGATCTATAATTGTCCATTGTAGTTTCACAAGATCCTTTGTATTTCTTTTCTTTTTTTTTTTTTTTTTTTTTTTTTTTTGAGACAGAGTCTCGCTCTGTCGCCCAGGCTGGAGTGCAGTGGCGCGATCTCGGCTCACTGCAATCTCTGCCTCCCGGGTTCAAGCGATACTCCTGCCTCAGCCTCCCGAGCAGCTGGGACTACAGTCGCCTGCCACCACGCCCAGCTAATTTTTGTATTTTTAGTAGAGACGGGGTTTCACCATATTGGACAGGCTGCTCTTGAACTCCTGACCTTGTGATCCGCCTTCCTTGGCCTCCCAAAGTTCTGGGATTGCAGGCATGAGCCACCGCACCCGGCCAATTCTTTGTATTTTTTTTCTTTTTGTTTTCTTTTGAGACAGAGTTTCGCTCTTGTTGCCCAGGCTGGAGTGCAATGGCGCGATCTCGGCTCACCGCAACGTCCGCCTCCCGCGTGCAAGCAATTCTGCCTCAGCCTCCTGAGTAGCTGGGATTAGAGGCATGCCCCACTACGCCCAGCTAATTTTTTGTATTTTTAGTAGAGACAGGGTTTCTCCATGTTGGTCAGGCTGATCTCAAACTCCCGACCTCAGGTGATCTGCCCACCTCAGCCTCCCAACGTGCTGGGGTTACAGGCCTGATTACAGGATTACAGGCGCCCAGCCGATCCTTTGTATTTCTATGGTATCAATTGTAATGTCTTCTCTTTCATTCTGATTTTATTTGGGTATCCTCTATTTTTTCCTAGTCTCACTAAAGGTTTGTAGATTTTGTTTATCTTTTCAAAAAACCAACCCTTGGTTTCATTGATCTTTTTTATCTTTCTAGTTTTATTTATTTATTTATTTCTAGTCTAATAATAATTTTAAATTTAAATTTAAAAATAATAAATTTCCTTCCTTCTACTAACTTTGGGCTTAATTTGTTCTTTTTCTAGTTCTTTAAGGTGTAATATTAGGTTGTTTAATTTGTAATTTTATAAAAATTACTTGGATGTATACCATATGCTTTATTTACAATATTTCAATCCTTACAGCAACCATAATCTGTGATATTATTTTCAAGTGATGAAACTGAGGCTCAGAGAGGATTTATAACTTTCCAAAGGCTATACATCTAGTCAATAATATTCAGTGTATTTGAACCTGATCTCTGCTGGCTAAATCTTATGTTCTCTCCAATATCACACATTTAATGCCATAATTAAGAGAGGACTTTTCTCTAGTTCCATATAAAAATTTGAGTTAAACAACACAGAACATAGTATTTTAACCATAACTATTCTGCATACTACAGCTAGTCTCTGAATTATATATGTATTATATAATTTTATATATAAAGTTCATAGTAAGCTATGGATACATATTTATAAACACTGAACATTTTATTACGTATTTTCCAATAAATTATTGATAATTCTGAAATTAAAAGTTTTACTTTGATTTCCATACCTTTTAAACTTACTTTTGCAATAGGAGAATTCTTTTTTTTTTTTTTTTTTTGAGACAGAGTCTCCCTCTGTCACCCAGGCTGGAGTGCAGTGGCGGTGATCTTGGCTCACTGCAAGCTCCGCCTCCCAGGTTCACGCCATTCTCCTGCCTCAGCCTCCCGAGTAGCTGGGACTACAGGCACCCACCACTACACCCGGCTAATTTTTTGTATTTTTAGTAGAGATGGGGTTTCACTGTGTTAGCCAGGATGGTCTCGATCTCCTGACCTTGTGATCTGCCCGCCTCGGCCTCCCGCAATAAGAGAATTCTTAAAATAAGCTTAAATTTTAGCTCTGAACTATAAATACAGCATTCATTCTGCAACTTGAAAATTTTGGAAATCTATTCCCTTAGAAAAATGGCAAGGTGGGGGTGGGAAGAAGAATAATACTGAATACAGCTTGGAGACTCTATCTCCAATACGAATGTTCATCTAACTTAGAGAGGTACAGAGAGTGAAAATATGTCTGAGGTAAGTCAACAGAATCATCTGCCTTCAAACAAACAGACACTATGTCTACAATTACAGAGAAATATAATACCTACATTTTATTCATACCAGGATGCCTTTATACATACTCAGGCATAACTCGAAACATGATCTGTCCATCACCACCTCTCTGAGACCTTATTCCACCACTCTCCTCTCCTATCATGTTTGAGCTACAACTGGCTCTCTTCCTATTCCTAGAACACACCAAACTGGTTCCACTTTTTACCACTGGCATTTGCTTTAACATCTGCTGAAATGCTCTTTCCCCAGATGTGTGCTTCCTCCTTCACAGACTTCAGATCTCTGCTTGACTGTCACTTATCAGGGAAGTGTTCTCTGACCACCAAATATAAATCTACCCACCCCACCCCAAGTGCTCTGTGCACCTACTTGTTTTATCTTCTTCATAATCCTTCTTACTACCTGATATTTTAAATTTTTATTATTTATTTATATTTTTAAATTGGATAAAATCATGTAACATAAAATTTGCCATTTTCACATTTACACTGTTGTGCTACCAATCTTCGAGAACTCTTTTCATCTTGCAAAACTGAAACTCTGTACCCATTAAACAACAACTTCCCATTCCCCCAGCCTCCAGCCCTTGGCTACCACTATTCTACTTTCTGCCTCTGTAAATTTGACTACTCTAGGTACCTTATATATTTGGAATCGTGGTTGGCTTTTTTAACTTAGGACAATGTCTTTGGCCAGGTGCAGTGGCTTACGCCTGTAATCCCAGCACTTTGGGAGGCTGAGGCGGGAGGATCACTTGAGGTCAGGAGTTCAAGACCAGCCTAGCCAACATGGTGAAACCCTGTTTCTACTAAAAATACAAAAACAGCCGGGCATGGTGACTCGCATCTGTAGTCCCAGCTACTCGGGAGGCTGAGGCAGGAGAATCGCGTGAACCCGGGAGGCAGAGGTTGCAGTGAGCCGAGATGGCGCCACTGCACTCCAGCCTGGGCGACACAGCAAGGCTCTGTCTCAAAAAAAAAAAAAAAAAAAAAGACTGTGTCTTTAAGGCTCATCCATGTTGTAGCATGTGTTAGAATTTGTTTCCTGTTTTTTTTTTTTTTTTGTCTGGAGACAGAGTCTTGCTCTGTTGCCCAGGCTGGAGTGCAGTGGCGCAATCTCGGCTCACTGCAACCTCCACCTCCTGGGTTCAAGCAATTCTCCTGCCTCAGCCTCCCGAGTAGCTGGAACTACAGGCGCCCGCCACCATGGCCAACTAATTTTTTTTGTATTTTAGTAGAGACAGGGTTTCACCTTGTTGCCCAGGCTGGTCTTGAACTCCTGAGCTCAGACAATCCACCCGCCTCAGCCTCCCAAAGTGCTGGGATTACAGGCGTGAGCCACGGCACCCGGCTGAATGTGTTTCCTTTTTAAGGCTGAAGAATATTCCACTGTATGTATATGCCACATTTCGTGTATCCATTCTTCTGACATTTGGCTTGCTTCTACTTTTTGACTATAATGCTGCTGTGAACATGAGTGGACAAATATCTCCTTGAGACCCTGTTTTCAATTCTGCTGTGTATATACCCAGAAGTATATTTATCCCTCTAGAAGTGGGACTGCTAGATCATAGAGCAGCTCTATTTTTAATTTCTAAAGAACATTCATAATGTTTTCCACAGTGGCTAAACGATTATTTATTCCCATCAGTAGCACACAAGGGTTCCAGTTTCTCCATGTCCTTTCCAACACTTGTAACTTTCTGGGTTGTTTTGTTTTGTTTTGATAGTAGCCATTCTAATGGGTATGGGATGGTGTGGTGTGTGTGTGTGTGTGTGTGTGTGTGTGTGTGTATGTGTGTGTGTCTATATATTTGTATCTTTATTTTCTTCCTTTCTTTTACTAGAATGTAAACTCCATGAGGGCCAGGATTTTGTTTTTGTCACTGCTGCATTCCTAAAACTTTTAACCTGCCTAACACATATTAGGCATCCAAAATATATTTGTCAAATGAATCAATAATCTCACATTTTCAAGATTTTTCTGGCCGGGCATGGTGGCTCACGCCTTTAATCCCAGCACTTTGAGAGGCCGAGGGCGGCGGATCACCTGAGGTCAGGAATTCAAGACCAGCCTAGCCAACATGGTGAGACACTGTCTCTACAAAAAATACAAAAATTAACCAGGCATGGTGGCATGCGCCTGTAGTCCCAGCTACTCTGAAGGCTAAGGCACGAGACTCACTTGAACCCGGGAGGCAGAGGCTGCAGTAAGCTGAGATCGCACCACTGCACTCCAGCCTGGGTGACAGAGCGACACTCTGTCTCCAAAAAAAAAAAAAAAAAGATTTTTCCTGTATTAGCATTAGTACTCAAACTGAAAACATGAGAGAACAGTTATCGTAGGAATTATGATACAGAGCATGTCTAACAGATTCCCTTTAATGTTTTAGGGTATAAAATTATAATCCTTGTCTTTACTGATATTTTAAAATGTAAACACAGTATAATTTTAGTAATGCAATGCATATATCATATCAACTAAAGAATAAATTCTGTCAAAGCACATTCTCATTAGTTGTCAAGAACCATATTTGTTTGTTCCTGTGATCATCATCTAACTGTGACCTTTGTTGTTAGGTTCTAAAGAAATGCTCTTAGGTGGCAATGCTTTTGATCACCATAAAAACATTAACCAGGAAATTTATATCAAGTCCTTGACGAGACAGCTAATTAAAAAAAGATCTTGCCGGGGGCGGTGGCTCGTGCCTGTAATCCCAGCACTTTGGGAGGCCGAGGAGGGAGGATCACCTGAGGTCAGGAGTTCGAGACCAGCCTGGCCAATATGGTGAAACCCCATCTCTACTAAAAATACAAAAATTAGCCGGGCATGGTGGTGGTCACCTGTAATCCCAGCTACTCAGGAGGCTGAGGCAGGAGAATTGCTTGAACCCGGGAGGCGGAGGTTGCAGTGCGCCGAGATCGCGCCACTGCACTCCAGCCTGGGTGACAGAGTGAGTCCGTCCTGCCCACCCTGCTTCCCCCACAAAAAAAAATCTTGAGGAGCCAGGTGTGGTGGCTTGCACCCATAATCCTAGCTACTCAGGAGGCTAAAGTGGGAGGATCACTTGAAGCAAGGAGTTCAAGGAAAAGAACTTGAAAACTACTTTTCCTCCCTTCCACTGCAGTAATGAAACTAAACATAAGATTCAGTAAACAGGAGCAAGTAACCAGTAACTTAATTCCAGGTTCGTGAGATCTATGATTCAATCTAGTTCCAGCTGTGTAGGTGTATCAGAAGTTGTTGACTGGCTACATATTTCTCTAATGTCTCCCAACCAAAACTTAGTTTCGTTGGATGGCAATGAGCCCAGACTCAATACATGGCATTCTTTCCTTCATTTCTAGAGAACTTTTTTCTCTTTTTTTTTCTTTTCCTTTTTCTTTTCTTGACACAGGGTCTCTGTCACCCAGGCTGGAGTGCAGTGGCGTGATCATGGCTCACTGCAGCCTCAAACTCCTGGGCTCAAGCGATCCTCCTGCCTCAGCTTCCCAAGTAGATGGGACTACAGGCATGAGCCATCATACATGGCCTTTTCTAGGGGTAAGCACATGGCCTTTTCTAGGGGTAAGCACATGACCCAGTTCTAATAATTAGAAGAAAGGAAGTGTCTGCAAGATGGCTACTAAGAAAGATTTACCTCCCTCATAAGAAAGACCTTTTGCCACCACCTGACACCTTCCTCCAACCTTGCTTTCTGCTTTGGACACCATTACATGAAGATGTGATTTTTGGAACTGTGGCAGCCATCCCATGACCAGAAGGGATGACACTGCTATCACCTGAGGATGGCAAAGTAGAAGGATCAGAGAAGGTTCAATCATCGATGACACTATTGAGCCACTGAGCCAACAATCCTGGGACTAACAACTTCTGGCCTCCTGTTAGGTAAACAGTGAATGTACTTATGATTTAAGCCACAGTTAGTGGAAACACCCTAAAGGTGTGTGTGTATATGTGCACGTGAGCACTCGTGTATGGGGGTATGTGTGCCTGTGTGTGTTTTAGGCAGGATCTTGCATCAAAGAGCTGTGACTCTGGAGCACAGCTTTATCATTTGCAGAGAGAGTTAGTGAGGCAAGGAGATACTGTTAGGTGGTCCAAATTCGTATGCTTTGGGGGCTAGAGGTAAGGATGCATTAAAAGAAAGTTGAAAATACAAACACAAGATAAATTGCAAACTATCTTGGCCGGAGCTGTCTCTGCCTGCCTTGAAACAATTTAGAACATAGCAAATGCGGACAGCTGTTTAGAAATGGCTCGAATAATGTGACTGCAGAGTCAAAAGCCTGTGGATGTTTAATACAGTTAACAAAATAAAACCTTTTATGAGGTTACATATTTTCCTATTAAATTTTAGAAGGATAACAAATGAAGTCTGATAATAATGCTTGTGAGATATGCAAATTACCTCTCTGATGCCTGCACCTCTCCTCTAGAAGAAACTCACTTTTAAAGATTCCTCCAGATGCCATGAGTTTGGATTAGTGTGATCCCAGGTGACTCACTTACTCAAACAATGAATTGCTTTTGATATCTTTTCTACCAATGCTTATGATGCCATTTTCATCACACCTGCATATGAGTTCCTGGCTAGACACAATAAATCCTGGCACTTTCATTTCAGGATTCACAATTTCATTATTACTTTCCCCTTTGAAAAGAGCAATAACTTTAGAATCATTTCCTTTACTTTCTGCTTCTCCCACACTCCAAATTGGAAGCTCAGACCTTTTCCAGGCGTGTAGAGACAGTGCCTAAGTCTTCAGGGTAGCCAACCTTTTTTTTTTTTTTTTTTTTTTTTTTTTGAGATGGGGTCTCGCTCTGTCACCCAGGGTGGAGTGCAATGGTGCAATCTCAGCTCACTGCAACCTCCACCTCCTGGGTTCAAACGATTTTCCTGCCTTAGCCTCCCAAGTAGCTAGGACTACAGGCATATGCCACCACATCTCACTAATTTTTTTGTATTTTTAGTAGAGACAGGGTTTCACTATGTTGGCTAGGCTGGTCTTGAACTCCTGACCTCCAGTGATCCACCTGCCTTGGCCTCCCAAAGTGCTGGGATTACAGGTGTGAGCTACCATGCCCGGCTAGGGCAGCCAAACTTTTAATCAGCTCCAAGATGATAAAGGAGCCTCCATTATCTTCATCACAATAGCAACCCTCCTTCCAAGAAACACAAAGGAATCCTCCATCTCTGTCCCTCCCCTTCTTCAGCATCCTTCCTCTCTCCTACCTTTCATGTACACAACCCTGAGAGTAGCTGGCAAACATGGGCTTCTGAACCTTGGGGGTTCTGGGATTATATTTTCTCTGCAGCAAGAGAATAAAAGAAGCCAATAGATGCTGGTGGGGATGGAGTGGAGGATTTTCCTAAATACTGAGATCATTCCATAGTACTTTTCAAAAAAAACAACAGCTAGGCAAAACTTCTAAATCATGGAACCATTATTCCCTTGATGGTCCTCTAATAGTCATGGCCAATGTAAGGTTTCTTTTTAATGTATAATGACTTTTCCATTTGCCAACACAATCTCTAGGCAAGAAATATTTGAGTTATACGTTACACAGTCAAGTGCTTTGAAATACCTTAATTATTAAAAGCACATTATAAAACCAAACTCTATGTTTTCCTTCTATCTAGTCCACACATGTAAGACTTTAATTTCAATTTTAAAAGATTAAATTATTCATTGAGCACCTGTTATATTTCAGGCAATATGACAGGCATTGTTCTACACTCAATACCTCATAGTGTAGCAATTAGGGAAATTTATAACTGATTCCATTAGGAAGTGACAGGATCAGATGTGTTGTATACAAGAGAGTTTGTAAATGGGAGAGACTGCAGAGAGTGAGACCAATTAGGACACTATTATAATATAGTCCATATAAGACCCAATGTGGTCCTGAACTTGGACAGAAAAAGTAAGACTGGAGAAAAGATGGAGAGAGGAAAAGAAACCAAAAACAGCACTCGAGGGTAGGCACCAAATAGTGAGACTTTTATAGACATGTAATGTTTGAAGGACCCACAAGACATAAAGGAAGAGATTTATGGAAGTCAGATGAAAGTACCAGGTCAACAGAGGGGTTTACACTAAAGATGCTGTTGAGGAGACATCAACGTATGGTAGTAATAGAAGCTACAGGAGTGGATAATTGGTCTGGGAAGAAATATAAATATGTGAGATGAAAATCAGAGATGGAAAGTAGAACCCTGGTTGACATTAATGTTTAAAGAACAAGTGAAGGAAGAGGAAGTGATAGAGGAGAATGATAAAGAACGCTGGTAGGAAAACCATGAATAAGTCATGATAATAAGTACAGCTCTTTAGGATCCGGCTGTTGACTAACTCACCAGTCTCATATCCTGCCACCTCCCCCAAAACTGTGCTCCAGCCATTCAGAACTTCTGATAACTCCCTAAAATGCCTAAAATGCCGTATGCTTTCTACTTCCAAGCCTTTGCAATTCCTGTTTCCTCTGATATTCCCTTTCTATCTTAGGTTGCAAGCTCTTACTCTTCCTTCAAGCACCAGCTTCTGTTTGAAGCCTTTGCTGAAGTCCCCAAGCAGAGGCCTCCACTGCTTTGAATTATACCTTCTTTTTTTTTTTTTTTTGAGTCGGAGTCTCGCTCTGTCGCCCAGGCTGGAGTGTAATCGGCGATCTCAGCTCACAGCAAGCTCCGCCCCCTGGGTTCACGCCATTCTCCTGCCTCAGCCTCCCGAGTAGCTTGGACTACAGGCGCCCACCACAACGCCTGGCTAATTTTTTGTATATTTAGTAGAGGCGGGGTTTCACTGTGTTAGCCAGGATGGTCTCGATCTCCTGACCTCGTGATCCACCCACCTCGGCCTCCCAAAGTGCTGGGATTACAGGATTGAGCCACCGTGCCCGGCCGAATTATACCTTCTTTATTGAAATCATCACATTCTATCTGCTTAGTTGGTTTTTCCACTGTATCATAGTTCCCTGAGTACTAAGTGTTTTCCCCTCTGTATCTGAGGTGTTTTCACCTCCTTACTTCCAGGCCCCAACATGATACCTGGCATGAGGAGGTGGTATTACATGCACTGTTTAAGGACACAAGCTTTGATAACTAACACATGTGGACATGAACCCCTTTCTCTACCATTTCCTTGACTGCATGATCTTCAGCAAACTACTAAGCCTGGTTTCTTTAAATTAGAGTGATTATTGTCCTATCTCATCAAATGGATGGGAGGATGAAATAATACATGTAAAGAATTTGTCACAGAGCTGACACACACAGAGCTCAGTTAGTATAAGCATCTTTATTTCAGATGTTGAATATATGAATGGTAATCTATAGTCCTAATGAGAAGAGCTTCAGGAAGGAAGAAATGGTCAACAGAATAAAAACTGCTGACCGGGAGCGGTGGCTCATGCGACCGGGTGCGGTGGCTCATGCCTGTAATCCCAGTACTTTGGGAGGCCGAGGTGGGCAGATCACCTGAGGTCAGGAGTTCAAGACCAGCCTGACCAACATGGAGAAACCCCGTCTCTACTAAAAAGACAAAACTAGCCAGGTGTGGTGGCACATGCCTGTAATCCCAGCCACTTGGGAAGCTGAGGCAGATGAATCACTTGAACCTGGGAGGCAGAGGTTGCAGTGAGCTGAGATTGCACCATTGCATTCCAGCCTGGGCAACAAGAGTGAAACTCCGTCTCAAAAATAAAAATAAAAAATAAATAAAAACTGCTAAGAAGTAGGCCAGGCCCAGTGGCTCACGCCTATAATGCCAGCACTTTGGAAGGCTGAGGCAGGCAGATTACCTGAGGTCAGGAGTTCAAGACCAGCCTGGCCAACATGGTGAAACCATGTCTCTATGAAAAATAAAAACATTAGTTAACGTGGTGGTGGGTGCCTGTAATCCCAGCTACTCAGGAGGCTGAGGCAGGAAATTTGCTTGAACCTGGGAGGCAGAGGTTGCAGTGAGCCAAGATCACATCACTGCACTCCAGCTTGGGCAACAGAGCAAGACTGTCCGAAAAACAAAAACAATTAAGAAGTCTAATAGGATGAGGGCTATCCACTTACTAAATACTTAACTAAAGCATCCTTGTCTCCCCATCAACTGGGTTTCTTTAACCTCACTGTCAGGCTCAGCCTTGCCCCATTCTCTATAACTAGTGAAGACAAAAGAATTGCGGAAAACAACAACACCTTCTAAACAGAGGAAAGTCCTAGAATAGGCAGGAGAGAATGTGATCAAGGTCAGGATAATTCTTCTGCTGAAACAGGAAGGAAGAAGGCAAGAATATGTGAGAATGCAAATGTTTAGAAGTGGATGTGTGTTCCTGGTTCTCTTTTATAACTGAAGAAGGTGTCTATAAAAGAGGCATTCATGCATAAAACATTTTGTACTGTCAGATGAAAGAACTAAGTCAGCTATATAATCATCCAAGTTTTTATCAGAAAGAGAGATAAGATTTTCTAAGTTGGCATACAAGGTCTCTTATCCAATTAGAAGTCTAATTTAGTCAATAGCCCTGGTACTTTTGTACATTTTAGCTTTTTATATTTATAAATATTTTTTTTTTAAAGTAAATATTCATTGTTGTCTAAGAAACTGTCTAAGCACTTCCAGCAAAGCTATACAAGTACTTGGTAACTATCTTGGATAGGTAATAGCACTAAAGCATATTGGCTTGTTAGATATTATGTTTAGCTCAGTGGTATAAATTCATAAAATAAACATTTTTCCTTATAAACTGGCATTATGAAGTGATTAGTCCTTATAATTTGTATTAAATATGTCTATTACTCTGAAATCTACAAGCTCACACAATTTAAGGAATATCACAGTACGATGCATCTATCATTTTCCTTCATGTTCACTATTATCTATCATTCATTACATTGGGCAGTCTCAGAAAGAGTTTATTTGATTTGCTCAATTCCAAAATGAACTAAGGCAAAATAACCTTATGAAGTTAAAGTGCAGACAGATAGCAGAAGAGAAATTCAGTATTCATAAAACTTGTAGGAAAATAGTTTAATAAGCGCATCTTTTAGGACAATCAGAAAAAAAAGGTCACACAAGCCCAATATATATTAGATAATACACTGCAGAAAAATGACAGGCAGCTTCTACATTTATTATGATAAGAGTAGAATAAAGGTTAATGGATTTGAAGAACCACATTTCCAAGAGTCTGGCTTTTAATACCAAGTGCCTGGCAAGATACCATTCATTATAAAGGAAAACTGTTACGATAAATAACTTGTATATTAGTCTAGTGAAATAAAGCATTGAAAAGAATGAAACTGTTTTTAGACCTGCTCAGGTAAAACAAAAGAATGTTTGCTTAATTTCATTAAAAGGAAAAATAAATTCCAGATGTAGCACTTGACAATCACCCAGGTCTTCCTTTAATTATTATTAAAAAGGCATGATGTAAAGCAATGTGGATAGTAGGCTCCCATTTATGTAAACAAAACGGGGAAAGGGGGGTTGCAGTGTTTTGTTTTGGAGTAAGGTTTACTTTTCCCACATATCCATCTATAAATATGTGATGTTATTACCACATTCTTGTATAACTTCTTCAATTAAAAAAAAGTACAATAAAATCATGTTTACAGATTATTAGAGGCCAGGTGCAGTGCTGTAAGCCTATAGTACCATTTACTCAGAAGGCTGAGGCAGGAGGATCACTTGAGCCCAGGAGTTCAAGGCTGTGGTGCACTATGATCATGCCTATGAATCATCGCTGCACTCCGGCCTGGGCAATATAGGAGGCCCCCATCTCTACCAAAAAGACTATTAGAATAAGGGACATTTAGTTAACCAGAAGGCTTACGATATAAACAATTGAAATCAAAATTACATATTTTTTCACAATAGCATATACACCTATAGTATTTTATTATTTTGAAAGCACTTACACTAACATTATACCATTAGAGATTAATGATGGACCAATGAGGCCCAGTGTGGTGGTTTACACCTGTAATCCCAGCACTTTGGGAGGCCAAGGTTGGAGGGACTGCTTGAGAATAGAAGTTCGAGACCAGCCTGGTCAACATAGCAAGACCCTGTCTCTATATATAAAAAAGAAAAAAATAATAATAATGGACCTGTGAGATGGAATTATGGTTACTGCCATTTAATACATTATAAAACTAAAGTTTAGCCAGATTATATAATTTACTCAGAGTTACTCAGATAGGAACTAGGGGGGCTGTGCAAACCTCATTTCTGACTTCCGTGTCTAATCCTCAGGCAAATGGCTGTCCTTCCTTGTAGTGCTGTCCTTGGGGAAGGGAAGAGGCTGACATTTATTGTGCATTTATCATATAACAACAATAGTTAAAATCATTTAGTATAAACCAACTGCCAGGTATCAAGCAAAATGTATTTTGTACATTTTATTGTTTATTTATTCATTTATTAATTTTGAGATGGGAGTCTCGCTTTGTTGCCCAGGCTGTAGTGCAGTGGCGCAATCTCGGCTCACTAAAACCTCCACCTCCATAGCTGCAAAGAAAAAGTGCAGGCCCTATGTGAGCAAGTCCCCTGGTCCCATGCCTTCCTCATTCAGTAGGAAAAAGTGTGGTTGGAAGGAGCCCAGAGTGAGAAGTTCTAGAGCTTAGAGCTTGTGTCTGAGGGTGGTACTGTGTAACACTCTCCAAACTCAAAGCACAGAGCCCGAGTACAAGGCGACTGAACAATCAAAAGGAAGGTAAACAGCAGAACTACAGCATTTGCATGTAGTGATTTATGAAGATTTAAGTGAGGAAATATTTCCTGTGAAATGTTTGTAACTAGTTCTTATCACATCTGTGTTACCTCCTGATCCGATGACAAAAATAACGTGCTAAGTCCTGTTTGATACCAGCTTATTTGTGTTAACCTAGTTCTCACTCTGTGGTAGATCATATTTTCAAAGGTGGCCAATATCCCTCCCACATGCTATTTTTATAATATGATGTTAATATCCATCCCTCCCATGGAATAGTGGGATGTACGTCCCCTACCACTGAATCTAGGTGAACCCATGAGACTGCCTCACCAAGAGTATGACAAAAGAAACCTGTGATTTCTAAGGCTAGGTCTTAAGGATGCCTTTTACTTCTGCCGCAATTTCTTGGGACTTTTACTGTTGGAACCCAATCACCGCGCTGCAAGGAAGCCAAGATCCACACAGAGAGGACTTATATAGGTGTTCTAGCTGACACCCTCAGGTAGTATTGGTCACCAGACGTGTGACTGAGCAAATCTTAGATGATTATTGCTCCAGTCATGGAGTCACCTCCAGCCTTCTAGTCACCCCAGCTGATTCCTCATATCCTTACCAACCCCTACCCAATTGCAGATTAATGAGCAAAACACATGATTATTGTTGTTTGAAGCCACTATGTTTGATGGGGTTTGTTATGTAGCAATTGATAATTGAAACTATTTATATATCCTTGTGATAAAAGCTAGGTTTACAGGCTAGTGAACTCAAGGCTATACGTGTCACTAGAAACAGATAATTAGCTCCTTAATATACCATAATCTACCCATATAATACCCCTTTATAAAAACATAAAATGCTAAACGTCTCCAAACCTTGTAGTGAATGAAGCTTAAAGTCCCTATTTATTTCTCATTTTATTGCTCATATTCAATGTAGCCGATTTAGAAATTGTTTTTTTAAAGCCTCTGGGAACTCTCTGTATTCATCAAGTAGGGTATGAGATGTGACATATTACTTTGTCTTTTTTCATTTGATTTTTTGATATAGTTTTATTGTATGCAGTTCACTTTCATAAACAGCCTTCCTTCTAGAAATGAGTGCTTGTCTTGTAGCTTCATATGATGTTTAAATGGGAAATTGTATAAATAATGTTTTAAGGCTGGGTGCGGTGGCTCACGCCTGTAATCCCAGCACTTTGGGAGACCAAGGTGGGTAGATTGCTCAAGGCCAGGAGTTCAAGATCAGCCTGGCCAACATGACAAAACCCCATCTCTACTAAAAATACAAAAATTAGCCAGGCATGGTGGCGTGTGCCTCTGGTCCCAGCTACTTGGGAGGCTGAGGCAGAAGGATTGCTTGAGCCCAGGAGGTGGAGATGGCAGTGGGCCAAGATCCCACCACTGCCCTCCAGCCTGGGCAACAGAGCAAGACTCCATCTCAAAAAAAGTAAAGAAAACTAAAGGATGTCAAATAAGTACATAAAAAGTATTCAACATCATTAGTCATTAGGGAAATACAAATTAAATCCACAAAGAAGTGTCTCTACACCCTTATTAGAATGACTAAAACAACAAAATGCCAACATCAAATGTTGACAAGGACGCAGAGCAATAAGAACTCTAATTCATTGTTGGAAGGAATGTAAAAGCAGCAACACAGTCACATTGGAAAATAGTTTGACAGTTTTTTTTTTTGTTTTTTTTTTTGAGACGGAGTCTCGCTCTGTCGCCCAGGCTGGAGTGCAGTGGCGAGATCTTGGCTCACTGCAAGCTCCGCCTCCCGGGTTCACGCCATTCCCATGCCTCAGCCTCCCGAGTAGCTGGGACTACAGGCGCCTGCCACCACGCCCGGCTAATTTTTTTTTGCATTTTTAGTAGAGACGGGGTTTCACTGTGTTAGCCAGGATGGTCTCGATCTCCTGACCTCGTGATCCGCCCGCCTCGGGCCAGTTTCTTATTAAGTTAAACATATACTTACTATATAATCCAAAATTTATATTCCTAGGTGCACACCCAAGAGAAATAAAAACATGCTTCACACAAAAAATCCATACCAATTTTTTTTGTTTTTGAGACGGTGTTTCACTCTTATTGCCCAGGCTAAAGTGCAATGGCGCGATCTCAGCTCACCGCAACCTCCGCCTCCAGGGTTCAAGCGATTCTCCTGCCTCTGCTTCCCGAGTAGCTAGGATTACAGGCATGCGCCACCACGCCCAGCTAATTTTGTATTTTTAGTAGAGACAGGGTTTCTCCATGTTGGTCAGGCTGCTCTCGAATGCCCGACCTCCGGTGATCTGCCCACCTCGGCCTTCCAAAGTGTTTTATATAGCAACTTCATTCATCACTGCCCCAACCTGGAAACAACCCAAATGTTCTTCATCTGGTGAATGGCCGGGCAGTGGTGCACCCATACGATGGAATACTACTCAGCAATAAAAAGGAACAAAATGTTTACACATGCAAGACACTTAGAGGGACCTGTTTACAGGCACTATGCTGATTGAAAAAAATCAATTTTAAATGGTTTTATTCTAGGTAATTTCATTTATCTGACATTCTTGGAAAGGCAAAACTATATGGACAGAGAACAGATCAGTGGCTATCAGGAATTGAAGGTAGGAGAAGCCTTTGTTTGACTACAGTAGGATTAGCATGAGGGAAATTTTCAGGGAGATAGAACTATTCTCTACCTAGATTGTGGTGATGGTTACACGACTCTTAAGTATTTGTCAGTACTCATTAAACTATATAAAAAGTGAATTTTACTATATGTCTATTAAAAAACAAAATTTAAAAACCTAAATTAATAATGTCAATACATAACTATATTTATTTATTGCCTGTGACTGTCATCCCTTCACTGTCTAAAATAAATTTTCCTGTGCTGTAACTCAAATACTTTTTATAAAATAAAAATTAAAAATATAACATCTTGGCCGGGCGCAGTGGCTCATGCCTGTAATCCCAGCACTTTGGGAGGCCAAGGTGGGCGGATCATGAGGTCAGAAGATCGAGACCATCCTGGCTAACACGGTGAAACCCCATCTCTACTAAATATACAAAAAATTAGCTGGGCATGGTGGCAGGCGCCTGTAGTCCTAGCCACTTGGGAGGCTGAGGCAGGGGAATGGCGTGAACCCGGGAGGCGGAGCTTGCAGTGAACCGAGATCACGCCACTGCACTCCAGCCTGGGCGACAGAGCGAAACTCCATCTCAAAAAAAAAAAAAAAAAAATATATATATATATATATATGACATCTTGGCTGGGTGCGGTAGCTCACACCTGTAATCCCAGCACTTTGGGAGTCCAAGGTGGGTGGATCACCTGAGGTTAGAAGTTCGAGACCAGTCTGGCCAACATAGTGAAACTCCATCTCTACTAAAAATACAAAAATTAGTCAGGCATGGTGGCACATGCCTGTAGTCCCAGCTACTCGGGAGTCTGAGGCAGAATAGCTTGAACCCGAGAGGCAGAGGTTTCAGTGAGCCGAGACTGCACCACTGCACTCCAGCCTAGAGGACGAAGTGAGACTCTGTCTCAAAATAAATAAATAAATAAATAAAAATAAATATATATATATATATGTGTGTGTGTGTGTGTATGTATGTAACATCTTGACAAAAATATACAAAGAATGCAATTAATAATAGAAGAAACTGCTAGGTGCAGTGGCACAGGCTTGCTTGTAGTCCTAGCTACCCGAGTAGCTAAGGCAAGAGGATTGCTTGAACCCAGGCATTTGTTTGTTGTGCTTTTCTTTTTTCTTTTTCTTTTTTTAATTTTATTTTTTATTTTTATTTTTATTTTATTTTATTTTTTTGAGACAGAGTCTCACTCTGTTGCCCAGGTTGGAGTGCAATGGCATGATCTCGGCTCACTGCAACCTCCGTCTCCTGGGTTCAAGCAATTCTCCTGCCTCAGCCTCCCAAGTAGCTGGGATTACAGGTGCCCTCCACTACACCCGGCTAATTTTTTTTGTATTTTTAGTAGAGACAGGGTTTCACCATGTTAGTCATGCTGGTCTCGAACTCCTGACATCAGGTGATCCACACACCTTGGCCTCCCAAAGTGCTGGGATTACAGGCTTGAGCCTCCATGCCCGGCCTGTTGTGTTTTTCTTGGACAGGGTCTCACTGTCATGCAGGCTGGAGTGCAGTGGCATGATCACAGCTCACTGCAATCTTGAACTCCCCGGCTCAAGCAATCATCCCACCTCAGCTTCCCAAGTAGCTGGGAGTACAGGCACCCACGACCATACCCAGCTAATTTTTGTATTTTTTGTAAAGATAGGGTTTTGCCATGTTGCCCAGGCTGGTCGCAAATTCCTGAGCCCAGGCCTTTGAGGCTATAATGCAGAACGACTGCACCTGTGAATAACCACTGCACCCCACTGCACTGCCCATAGCCTGGGCAGTACAGAGAGACCCTGACTTTTTTTTTTTTTTGAGACAGTGTGCTAGGATTACAGGCGTGAGCCACTGTGCCTGGTGACCCCAACTCTTAAGAGAAAAAAAAAGAAAGAATGAAAAATCCTTTAAAAATGTAAGCCTGGCCAGGCGCAGTGGCTCACACCTGTAATCCTAGCACTTTGGGAGGCTGAGGCAGAAGGATCACTTGAGCTGAGGAGTTTGAGACCAGCCTGGACAACATAGTAAAATATCACCTCTATTTATAATAAAAAATAAATAAATAAATATAAATGTAATCATATATACATATATATATATATATATATAAAACCTGTTCAAAAAGATTCTCCATTAACCCATTCATTCTCAGAAATATTTTTCTCAGGACCAGCACAAATAATTGAGGAGCTCCCAGTGGAGGCAAAAGGTAACTGAAAGCTTTAGTCACTCCTCTCAGCAACCATGATGCTGGAAAAATGTTCTTTTAGAGAACACAGAAGTGAAAATGGAATTCAAGCATTTTTTTTTTTTTTGAGATGGAGTCTTGCTCTGTCATCCAGGCTGGAGTGCAGTGGTGCAATCTCGGCTCACTGCAACCTCCACCTCCTGAGTCCAAGCTATTCTCCTGCCTCAGCCTCCCGGGTAGCTGGGATTGCAGGCGCCCGCCACCAAGCCCAGCTAATTTTTTTGTATTCATAGTAGAGATGAGGTTTCACCATGTTGGCCAGGCCGGTCTTGAACTCCTGACCTCGGGCAATCCGCTCGCTTCAGTCTCTCAAAGTGCTGAGATTACAGGCGTGAGCCACCTGGCCTGGCCCAAGCTATTCTCCTGATGGATTTGAGTAATGAAAATTACTTCAACTCTACCGTAAATACTATAGTTAAATCCGAGTAACTCAAAGCAGAACTCCATGAGAATAATTATAGATAGCTAGGAGTAACAGAGGAGTTCTTTAATAGTCACAAGCCCTGAAAATTAGAAGAAGATAGTAAGTAACAGTGATTGCAAAGTAAGGCATCATTAAGACCACATTTTAAATCCCTAACTTCCAATTTCCTAACTATGAACTTGAGTATGTAGCTCAGTTTCTCTAAACCCACGTTTTCTTGTCTAGAAAATGGGAATAATATCTCCTTCACAGGATTGTTGTGAAAACTATGCCTCGCTCAGCACCATGCTTGGCTCACTGTAAATATTTCAGTATTACCACATGGGAGGTCTCAATGTTTCCACAGCAAAGAATGAAGGAACACTAGTTTGGTGCCATAAATGATATGACACCAATACCCAGAGACCATGGGGAAGGATTGATGAAGAAACAAGAGAATGACACTGAAGTTTTCTGGCACCAATGACAGACGGTCTTAAAGCTCTTCCAAGTCTCACAGCAATCAATGCCATGATAACACCCATCAGAGTTTGTCAAAAAGATGGTAAGGTCCAGATAGATGCTATCACCATATCTTTTCTTTTTTTCTTTTTTGAGACTGTTTTGCTCTGTCACCCAGGCTGGACTGCAGTGGCTCAATCTCAGCTCACCGCAACCTCCGCCTCCTGGGTTCAAGCAATTCTTCTGTCTCAACCTCCTGAGTATCTGGGATTACAGGTGCCTGCCACCACACCCAGCTAATTTTTGTATTTTTAGTAGAGGCCAGGTTTCACCATGTTGGCCAGGCTGGTCTCGAACTCCGGATCTCAGGCGATACTCCCACCTCGGCCTCCAAAAGTGCTGGGATTACAGGCATGAGCCACTGTGCCCGGCCTTCAATATATCTTATATGTCATAATCTCAGTAAGTACGCATTTAACTTTGATTTAAATTCTCTGGAAATGGCCATAAGAGTCATATGGGTCCTTTAATGTATATGACATATACAGACAAACTATTGCAAAACAACCATTTCTTCATCTTTTCTTTTACAAAGTTAGAAAATGAATGAAGAATAAACATGGGCTGATGTCCACGAAAT